>NT_187642.1:0-155532 GCF_000001405.40 Homo sapiens
TCTACTTTCCTGGTAAATTTCAAGTATAGAGTACAGTATTGTCAACCATAGTGGCAAAGCTGTACAAGAGATCTTCAGACCCATTCCTCCTGAATACCTGATAGTTTGTATCCTTTGATCAACATCTCCCAATTCCCTCCCCCACACTGTCCCTGTAGTTCTAGTGAGTTTCCCAGACTCTGATGTCTCAATTTCATTCAGTCACTTTCCTCCAGATACATCTACCCATTCCTACTGCATCTTAGTATCCTGAGCCTTGGGGGCAGTTTCTGTGCCAAGTGGAAATGTGGAAATGAGATATTACGAAGAAAAATCTTTGCCCACCTAGACAGGGATCTGATGTTTTCCAAGATGACACATGATTACATGTTGAAATGATAATATTTTGAGTCTACTTGTATAATAAAATAATATTTTGGATCTATTAGGTTAATATTTTGGGTCTGTTGGGTTAATAATATTTTGGGTCCATTGGGTTAACTTAAATTAATTTTATCTGTTTCTTGTTAGCTTTTTAATTTGGATACTAGCAAGTTTGAAAGAATGCATGTGGTTTGCATTATGTTTCTATAGGACAGAACTTACCTGTAGATGTAAGGGAGTCACAACAAAATTACAAGCATTGTTTTTGGTGGAAATGAGAAAAATGATTACAAATTTACATGGAAAAGCAAATAGCCAATAATAATAATAATGGCAATCTTAAAGAGGAAGGAGAAATTAGAGGATTCAGGCTGCCAAATTTTAAGGGGTTCTATAAGGCCACATAAAGTGCAGCATCCTCATGAGAGTGGACACAGAGAGCCACTGAGCAGAAAAGAGTGTGTAAAATACATCTGTGTACACACAGTCCTTTTATAGTTGACAGAGGCTGCCATGCGGATTAAGGTGGAATAGAATGTCTTCTCAGTAAATAACATTGGACCAGAGGGTTACAAGCAGGAAAAAATAAATCTAAGCTTATTTTCACACCATAAAAACACTGCTAATTTTTTATCTTATTATCATACATTTTGATGATTTATTTATAAAATTGATGAATGAAAATTATATACAGTTGTCCTTCACTATTCATGGGTGATTGGTTCCAGGAAACCCCCCTCCCTACCAGACACCAAAATCTGCAGATGCTCAAGCCTGTTGCATGAAATGGCACAGCGTTTGCATATAACCCATGCACATCCTCCTGTATACATGAAATCATCTCTAGATTACTTATAATTCCTGATACAGCCTACACACCACCTCACTTGTGTCCACACAATATAGTATTTTTGCTTTTTGGAACTTTGTGGATTTTTTCTCTGAATATTTTTGATTTATATTTGGTTCAATAAACACCTGTAAACCCCACAGATATGGAGGAGCGACTGTATATTTATAGTATGAAAGATGATGTGTTGACATGTGTCCCTGTGGAGATGAGACTAACAAGGCCTATGACTCTACAAATGTTTCATCTTGGAATGACTCTGCCAGCTTTCCAGGTCTGCAGAGAGTAAGAATATCACTTGTTCATGTGATTCACGATCCTTGGAACCTCCTATGTGCTGCATCTTTGGATGGAAATTGGAGTCCCAGAGACAAATGAGGCTCCACCCTGCTTCCAGAAGCTCAGAGTCCAGGGCTGAGAACCCAGTAGAGAACATATCAGGTTATATGGACATAGTAATGATAACACTGGAAACTTTTGGCGAATAAAGAGTCACATTATCGAAACCATGAGGGCAGACATGTTTATTTGAAGAGGAGAGAGCTACACTGAAGTTATAAAAAAAATTTATAAATTTTACTGATGACAGAAGGCTGAAAGATAGTCTGAGGGGAGGTGGAACAGCATGAGGGAAGGTGGAACAGCAAGTGTGTAAGTGCCGTGTTAAGAGGGAGCCTCTTGTATGTTTGGAATTGTGAGTTCCTCAGTGTGATTGCAGCCTCAAGTAGGACTAGGAAGTAAGCCAGTTAGGTTGGAGAGGTGGGCAGGGGTCAAGTGAAATAGATACTTGTGGGCTAAGCAAAGGAGTGTGTTTTCTCTGCAGCAGGCAGTGGCGACCTTAGGCATTTGTAAGCAAGAGAGAGGCATGTTCAGATTCGTGGTGTGAGGAAGAGCGATCCCCTAAGATGCAGACTGATGCCTTCAGATTCCAGCTGCTGGTTCATTGGATCTGGCAACCTGGTTTTGAGACAGGGCTGTTGTCTCCCTAGAAAACCCCCTCAAGACCTGACTGTGGTGCTCGTGGGCAGGAGACAACTTTGGATCTGGGCTCAGCATTTGGAAGTTCCGTGTACACGCTGGTATCTGTTAGGGGTGTCTTGGGCCTCTGAGAAGGGCGACTGATTTTTCTCTGTATGAAAACGCAGTGATCCAACTGTGCGTACGTCACCTCCTGAGGGTCTTGTTCATCAGAGTCCTGGAGAGAGGGAAATGCTGAGTGAGGGAGGGTGCTCACATTTTTCAGGACTATTAGGGATAAGACTGTATCCGTGAGGCTGGGCCGAGGAGGACCTACCTGCCTATTCACTGTTCTGTCCCCCGCAGGCTCTTGGTCCATTACAGCAGCATCTGTAGGAGACGGAAGTCATCAAAACCGCTTGGAGGGCCCTTCTGGGTCCTCATTTCATGGGCAGACACCAACCCACAGGGGGAGGCTGTAGGTGCCTGAGGCTCTTCAGCTGCCAACATCCAGACTCAGACATTCTATCTCTCTGAGTTCAAGACCCCATCCCATGAAGTGCTCTCAATTGGCATCCCATTGATTCTGTCTCCCACTTTCTGCCTGTCATGGAAGCTTCTGGATGTCAGTGGCTGCAGGGGATGTGAGGATACAGTTCAGAACCAGGCAATGGTCTGTGAGCTGAAGGCAGGGGCAGGTTGTCTGGTGCTCTCTCTAGAAAGCCCTGCCTCTGTGGCTCCTCCCTTGGGCCAGGGACCATCCTGCCAGTGAGGAACACACACCCGCGTGCTCCCATCCTGCTTCCCCACATGGCCCTGAGCTCTCTGGCCTCTGCTTCGTGAGACTTACTCTTTTTGTTGGAGCACCAGCGATAAAGGAGAAAGAAGAGGAGGAGGATGAAGAGGAAGATGACCACTGAGGTCCCAATCAGAACATGCAGGTGTCTGCAGATACCTGGAGGAAGATGGGAATCCAATAAGAAGCTAATCATAGCAGTTCCTCTTTATGGATTGTCTCATTTCTTGATTGACAGGTAACCACATGGAACATCTCCTTAGGACAAGCAGCCTGATGGCGGGAGACCCAGCTTTCTCCTGCTTTCTCAGTTACAGCTCTCATAGAAACCATAGAACATGCTGAGGATACAGCTGCTTTAGTTTAGATGTTTGACCCTTTGAAACCTCACACTGAAATATTGAAATTTAACCCCCAGTGTGGAAGTTTGGGCCTATGGGAAGGTGTTTGAGTCATGGAGGTGGATCCATCATGAATAGATTAATGCTGCCCCACATGATGGGGTTAGCAAGTTCCCCCTCTATTAGTTCCCGGAGGGCTGGTTGTTAAAAAGAGCTTGGAAGCTCCATCGCTCGCCCTCCCCCTTGCTCCCTCTCTTGCCATGTGATCTCTGTGGTCTCTGCACAGACAGACCCTCCTTCCCTTCTGCCAGAGTGGGAGCAGCCTGAGGCCGTCACAGGAAACAGATGCTGGTGCCATGCTTCCAGTACAGCCTGCAGAACTGTGAGGCAAACAAATCTGTTTTCTCTAGAAGTTGCCCAGGCTCTGGGATGCAAGGCTGGTTCAATATATGCAAATCAATAAATGTAATCCATCATATAAACAGAACCAAAGACAAAAACCGGACGATTATCTCAATAGATGCAGAAAAGGCCTTTGACAAAATTCAACAACGCTTCATGCTAAAAACTCTCAATAAATTAGGCATTGATGGGACGTATCTCAAAATAATAAGAGCCATCTATAACAAACCCACAGCCAGTATCATACTGAATGGGCAAAAACTGGAAGCATTCCCTTTGAAAACTGGCACAAGACAGGGATGCCCTCTTTCACCACTCCTATTCAACATAGTGTTGGAAGTTCTGGCCAGGGCAATTAGGCAGGAGAAGGAAATAAAGGGTATTCAATTAGGAAAAGAGGAAGTCAAATTGTCCCTGTTTGCAGATGACATGATTGTATATATAGAAAACCCCATTGTCTCAGCCCAAAATCTCCTTAAGCTGATAAGCAGCTTCTACAAAGTCTCAGGATACAGAATCAATGTACAAAAATCACAAGCATTCTTATACACCAATAACAGACAAACAGAGAGCCAAATCATGAGTGAACTCCCATTCACAATTGCTTCAAAGAGAATAAAATACCTAGGAATCCAACTTACAAGGGATATGAAGGACCTCTTCAAGGAGAACTACAAACCACTGCTCAATGAAATAAAAGAGGATACAAACAAATGGAAGAACATTCCATGCTCATGGGTAGGAAGAATCAAGATCGTGAAAATGGCCATACTGCCCAAGGTAATTTATAGATTCAATGCCATCCCCATCAAGCTACCAATGACTTTCTTCACAGAATTGGAAAAAACTACCTTAAAGTTCATATGGAATCAAAAAAGAGCCTGCATTGCCAAGTCAATCCTAAGCCAAAAGAACAAAGCTGGAGGCATCATGCTGCCTGACTTCAAACTATACTACAAGGCTACAGTAACCAAAACAGCATGGTACTGGTACCAAAACAGAGATATAGATCAATGGAACAGAATAGAGCCCTCAGAAATAATGCCACATATCTACAACTATGTGATCTTTGACAAACCTGAGAAAAACAAGCAATGGGGAAAGGATTCCCTATTTAATAAATGGTGCTGGGAAAACTGGCTAGCCATAGGTAGAAAGCTGAAACTGGATCCCTTCCTTACACCTTATACAAAAATTAATTTGAGATGGATTAAAGACTTAAACGTTAGACCTAAAACCATAAAAACCCTAGAAGAAAACCTAGGCATTACCATTCAGGACATAGGCATGGACAAGGACTTCATGTCTAAAACACCAAAAGCAACGGCAACAAAAGCCAAAATTGACAAACGGGATCTAATTAAACTAAAGAGCTTCTGCACAGCAAAAGAAACTACCATCAGAGTGAACAGACAACCTACAAAATGGGAGAAAATTTTCGCAACCTACTCATCTGACAAAGGGCTAATATCCAGAATCTACAATGAACTCAAACAAATTTACAAGAAAAAAACAAACAATCCTATCAAAAAGTGGGCAAAGGACATGAACAGACACTTCTCAAAAGAAGACATTTATGCAGCCAAAAAACACATGAAAAAATGCTCACCATGACTGGCCATCAGAGAAATGCAAATCAAAACCACAATGAGATACCATCTCACACCAGTTAGAATGGCGATCATTAAAAAGTCGGGAAACAACAGGTGCTGGAGAGGATGTGGAGAAATAGGAACACTTTTACACTGTTGGTGGGACTGTAAACTAGTTCAACCATTGTGGAAGTCAGTGTGGCGATTCCTCAGGGATCTAGAGCTTGAAATACCATTTGACCCAGCCATCCCATTACTGGGTATAAACCCAAAGGACTATAAATCATGCTGCTATAAAGACACATGGACACGTATGTTTATTGTGGCACTATTCACAATAGCAAAGACTTGGAACCAACCCAAATGTCCAACAATGATAGACTGGATGAAGAAAATGTGGCACATATACACCATGGAATACTATGCAGCCATAAAAAATGATGAGTTCATGTCCTTTGCAGGGACATGGATGAAATTGGAAATCATCATTCTCAGTAGACTATCACAAGGACAAAAATCCAAACACCGCATGTTCTCACTTATAGGTGGGAATTGAACAATGAGAACACATGGACACAGGAAGGGGAACATCACACTCTGGGGACTGTTGTGGGGTGGGGGGAGGGGGGAGGGATAGCATTAGGAGATATACCTAATGCTAAATGACGAGTTGATGGGTGCAGCACACCAGCATGGCACATGTATACATATGTAACTAACCTGCACATTGTGCACATGTACCCTAAAACTTAAAGTATAATAATAATAAAAATTTTAAAAAAAAGCTCATCAGAAGCACTATACAAAAAAAAAAAAAAAAAAAAAAGAAGTAACCCAGGCTCAAGTGTTCTTTTATAGCAACAAAAATGGACTAAGACAGCAACGTCCTGAGATCAGGAGGAACGTCTCAGAACAGCCTGTGCTGTCTTCCTGTTCTTCCTGGAGGAGGACGTCATGCAGTGCTTTAGCTGAGTGCTTCCTGTGGCTTCAGGGTACAAAACCCAGGCTGGGCTATTTTCTGGCTTCCCCCAGATACACTGCAAATGAGGTGACTCCATATGTCCCGAGCAGCTTTTCTGAGCCTTGAGGGACTGGCTCACGTTGAAATGTAGGCTTCTGTTGTCACTCGCTGCTTATCTGTTAGTAATGAACCTGCCTATGTAACGTATTCTCTGTGTGTTCTGTCTCCCTGGAGTGACGGTGAGTGATAGAAATTGGCATAGGCCCAGGTGCAGTACAGCAGGTGTTTAGAGTCTTCTCTGGAAAGACTGGACTGGGATTGATACACAGTGAATGTGCTTTACAGTTTCTACATCCACAACCCTCTTGACTCAAATTACATTCTCCAAGAAAAGGACACAAAAGTGAAATCAAGATCAAAAAAGCAAAGTAGAATTCTCTTATGTCAAACAGCCAGGAAATAATGATGAAGCCCATGTGAAACGTGCTACTCTTTGTGATCTCGCGAGACACATGTTAGGCTGCTGTTCCACCTGAGAGGCTGGGGGAAAGACCACCCCCTCCACCATCTATTGCTTCAAAACCACCTGTCCTCCTGTGAATTAGTAGGAAAGGGGAGCAGGAGCTAGTGCTGGTGCTGATCTCTGATTCCAAGATCTGAACTCACTCCAAGGAGTATTAGCGTTTACCTCCCCATGATCTATCTGTATCTCCACAGGTGATTGGAAGTAGGGGTGAGGTGGGGGATTTGGGTGAGGGGGAAAGTTTCTTGTGATGAACAGAGTACTTTCCCTATTTCAGGGCCTGTGCTGGTGGGTTCAGGGGGGCTTTCATATTTTCCATATGATCTCATGTTCACAGAAAGCCAAATATGGAAGAGGTTTTAGGCTGATTTTCTAATGGATAAGATAAAGGATCAAAGAAGTAATTATAGAGGAATAGAAAAATGATGATTGGAATTCAGGTGCCTGCATCATTTGTGTATATTATTATATTTATGTATTTTTTATTTTTATTTTTTGAGACAGAGTATCCCTGTGTAGCCCAGGCTGGTGTGCAGTGATGCGATCTCCACTCACTGCAACCTCTGCCTCCAGGGCTGAAGTCATTCTCCTGCTTCCTCCTCCAGAGTAGCTGGGATTACAGTCATGCACCACCATCATGCCTGTTTAATTTTTGTATTTTTAGTAGAGATAGGGTTTCTCCATGTTGGCCAGGCTGGTCTCGAACTCCTGACTTCATGTGATCCACCCGCGTTGGCCTCCTGAAGTGCTGGGTTACAGGCGTGAGCCACCGTTCACAGCCTTGTATATTATGCTATACTAGGTCCCTTCATTTGCACCACCCCTCATCTAGCTCTCCCTCCTCTGCCAGGTATTGATTTAGATGCAGGAGAAATAAATCTCAGAAATAAGTTAGTGAAGCGAGGATTAAACTACCAGGAAAAATTAAACCCAGTAAGCGTTTCCAGTCAATGATTCTACCTCACAAACATATCTTATATCCATCTACTTCATTCATTTAGTGTCTAAATCAGCACCACATTTCACCAGTGGGGCGGCAATTGCCTTTTCCACGGTCTCCTAGATTCCAGTTATGCACCTGAGCCTCCCTTATTTTCATGTCAGTCATATTAATCATGTAGGGATTCCTGGTTACCCCGAGGTGAATCCAAGGGCTGTGAGTGTCAAACACACACTCCTTGTTGCTCCTTAGTTTCCTGTGTACCCAGTGTGCTCTCCGTCTCTCCACAGTCGTCTTGTCATTCTCCCCATCTCATTCCCGGCATTTCAGGCAGAGCCTCTTCCTTCCACATCAGATTGTTTTCACCTTTGTGCCTTCACGGCTGACAGCTGTGTGGAAAATCCTTCTGCCAATCTTCCAGGGGTTCAATCCGTGTTTTTCATTAATGTCACAAATATCTGATTAGTGAGAACTTCTCTGTCACCTGAAATCATACACTCAGCATTATCTATTATTGATTTGAAAATTTGGCTTGGCCCCGTGGCTCATGCCTCTTATCCCAGCGTGTTGGGAGGCAGAGGCTATTGGATCACCTGAGGTTGGGAATTTGAGACCAGCCTGGCCAACATGGTGAAACATCCTCTCTACAGAAAATATGCAAAAAGAGTTAGCCGGGCGTGGTGGTTGTGGTCTGTAATCCCAGCTACTGGAGAGGCTGAGGGAGGAGATCAGTTCAGCCCAGGAGGTGGAGGTTGCAGTGAGCCGAGATCATGCCACTGCACTCTAGCCTGGACGACAGAGCAAGGCTCCGTCTCAATAAACAAGTAGGTAAATACATAAATAAATAGATTTCATGCACAGATGCTTCTCAATAGATCATTCATTTATTGGTCCCCTTGTGCCTACATTTTCTGCCCTCCCATTTAACCATCTGCAAGATCAGTGTCCCAAGAACAGAGGCCAAATGCATCTTGTTCACTGTTTGTGGAAGGCAGGAGAATGTTGTCCCACCCCAAAAATGTCCATGTCCTAGCCTCCATAGCTTGTGAATATGTTATTTTACATGAAAGGAGGAATGAAGATTGCAGATGGAATTATGGTTGCTAGTCAGCTGAACTTAAAAGGAGGGTATCCTGGATGATTTCCGGGAGATTATGATGGATTTTCATCTTGGTGAACCCAATAGAATCCCCAAGTTTTCAAAAGAAGGGCAAGAAGGGAGAGCAGCATTCAGAGAAAGAGGTGTGGTAAGGAAGAAGGGTCTGAGTGATGCCATGTGAGATGTGACCAGTCTTTGTGGGCTTTGAGGAAGGAGGAAGGGTACCAGGAGCCAAGGAACATGGGAGCCTCTAGAAGCTGAGAAAAGTGAGAAGCAGATTCTTGCCTGGAACCCTCAGAGGGAAGGCAGCCTTGCTGTCACCTTGATTTTAGCCCAGTGACATGCACGTCATGCTTTGAGCTACAGCACTGTAAGATAATTAAATAACCGTTTTGTTTTCACCCACGAATCTTGTGGAAATTTGTTATGGCAACAATAGGAAAAGCTTCCACACTGCACAGCCTGAGCATGGGGCCGTGGCTGAATGAGTCAGTGAGTCGAAGTGTGCGTGCATGAGCTCTGTTCTCTGTTACGGCAAGGCTCTTGCTCTGCTGAGTCAGCCAGGGTTGCCTGATGACCAACAGTAATTCATTCCTTGGCAAGTGGAACTTCTCTAAAACACCCACCCTCATCAGATGTTCCCTTCCCTTCCCTCTCTCAAGCCCCCGGGAATTTATCCTCCAGTTAGGAATGCAGGCAGAAAAAACACTGCATTTTTCCTGAGAAGGATGTCAGATTGGCAATTATTCTTCTAGCTTGTAGGAGGTCTCACCTGCAGGAAATTAAAGGTAAAGAGACTTCGCTGAGCCCTTTGGTGGCCCTAGATCCCTTTCACTGTTGGAGTGTCTGGAGTTCAGAGATGGTGGAAGACAGGCCCTCATTCACAGAGCTGGGAGGTTTGAGCCAACACTTGCATCCAAGGCTTCCACCTCCCCAGGTTTCCAAAAGCAGAGATAAGAGGGGTCCTTTACTCACCAGATTTGGAGCTTGGTTCTGTGGGTGAAGGCCAACTACTTGAAGGGTTTCCTAGAACACGGGACAGGAGAGATGTGAGGAAATGAGGGTGCTTGTCCTCTACTCAATGGAAATCTTTGAGGTTGGTTCATGGCCAACACTCTGTTATCTAATGTTGGACCCTGGGAGTCTTGGGATCCTTTTCTCCATAATTTTTGTGTGCGATGCCCACTGTCTTGAGACTTGAAGGTATAAAGAGAAAACAGGAGCATCACACTACCTGACTTAGAAATATGTTACAGAGCTGTAGTAAGCAAAACAGCATGACATTGGCATAAAGAAAGGCACATAAAAAATGGAACAGAATGGAGAACACAGATATAATCCATGCATTTACATCCAATGGCTTTCTTTTGTGTGTGTGTGATAGAATCTTGCTCTGTCATGCAGGCTGGAGTGTAGAGGTGCAATCTCAGCTCAATGCAACCTCCACTTCCTGGATTCAAGAAATTCTCTTGCTTCAAACTCCTGAGTAGTGGTATTACAGGCACTGATCACCATGCTCAGCTAATTTTTGTATTTTTAGTAGAGACGAGGTTTCACTCTGTTGGCCAGCCTGGTCTTGAACTCCTGGCTTTAGGTGATCCACCTGCCTCGGCCTCCCAAAGTGCTGGAATTGCAGGTGTGAGCCACCATACCCAGCCCATTTAATGGACTTTGACAAAGGTGCCGAGAACTTACAATCAGGAAAGGACAGTCTTCAATAAATGGTGTGGGGAAAACTGGATATCTACATGCAGAGGAATAAAACTGCATCTATACCTGTCACCTTACACAAAAATCAAATGAAAATGGATTAAAAACATGAGTCTAAGGCCTGAACCTATGAAACATGTAGAAGAAAATAATGGGGAAGACATTTGTCTGACGAAAGACATTTTGTTTAAAACCTTCAAAACACAAGTAATCAAAGCAAAAAATAGACCATTAGGATTACATCAAACCAAGCAACTTCTGCACCACCAAAGATAAACCAACAAAGTGAAGAGACAACCCACAAAATAGGAGCAAATATTTGCAAACTATTCATCTGAGATGGGATTAATAACTGGAAATATAAGAAGCTCAAACAACTCAATAAAACAATTTAATTAAAAAACGAGCAAAAGACATGAGGAGACATTTCTCCACAAACAAAACATAGAAATGGCGATCACGTATATGAAAAAGTGCTCAGCATCACTCATCATCACAGAAATGTAAATTACAATCGCGATGAGTTTTCATCTCATCCCATTAAAATGCCTTTTAGGCCGGTGGCTCACGCCTGTAATTCCAGCACTTTGGGAGGCGGAGGTGGGCGGATCACCTGAGGTCGGGAGACCAGCCTGACCAACATGGAGAAACTCCCTCTCTACTAAACATACAAAAATTAGCTAGGCGTGGTGGCACATGCCTGTAATCCCAGCTAC
The DNA here is from genome assembly GCF_000001405.40 of Homo sapiens. NCBI lineage: Eukaryota > Metazoa > Chordata > Mammalia > Primates > Hominidae > Homo > Homo sapiens. Next base: position 11,251 of record NT_187642.1, read on the forward strand.
TTTGGAGGCTGAGGCAGGAGAATCAGTTGAACGCGGGAGGCAGAGGTTGCAGTGAGCCGAGATCACACCCTTGCACTCCAGCCTGGGCGACTATGAGTGAAACTCCATCTCAACATAAATAAATAAATAAATAAAGTAAAGTAAAATGGCTTTTATCTGCAAGACAGGCAAAACAAATGCTGGCAAGATGGTAGAGAAAGGAGAACCCTGGTACCCTGTTGGTAGGAATGTAAATTAGTACAACTATTATGGAGAAAAGTATGGAAAATCTTTAAAAAACTAAAAGCAGGCTGGGCATAGTGGCTTATGCCTGTAACTTCAGCACTTTGGGAAACCGAGGCAGGCACCTCACTTGAGGTCAGGAGTTTGAGAGCAGCCTGCCCAAAATTGGGATATCCCGTCTGTGCTAAAAAATACAAGAATTAGTCAGGCATGGTGGCGTGCACCTGTAATCACAGCTACTAGGGAGGCTGAGTCAGGAGAATCGTTTGAACCTAGGAAGCAGAGGTTGCAATGAGCCAAGATCGCACCACTTTGACTCCAGCTTGGACTAAGGAGGGAAACTCTTTCTCAAAAAAGAAAAAAAAAAAAAGAGAACTTTCATAGTGTCCAGCAATTTCACTACTGGGTTTATATCCAAAGGAAAGGACATCAGTGTATCGAAGTGATATCTGCACTCATATGACTGTTCCAGCACTGTTCACAGTAGCCAAGATGTGGAGTCAACCTACCTGCCTATCAGTGGGTGAATGGATAGAGAACTGTAGTACACACACACGGTGGAGACTACTCATCCATAGAAACAATAACATCCTGTCATTTGCAGCCACATGGATGGAACTCGAGGTCATTACAAAGATTCCCATTTCTCACCACATGCAGGAGATAAAAGGTGGATCTCATGAAGGTAGAGAATAGAATGGTGGATACCAGAGGCCAGGAAGGGAAGGGTGGAGGGTAACAAAAAAAAGAATATAGATGTATTTATTTATTTAGAAACAGAGTCTCTCTCTGTCTCCCAGGCTGCAGTGCAGTGGCATGATCTCGGCTCAGTGCAACCTCTGCCTCCTGGCTTTAAGTGCTTCTCCTGCCTCAGCCTCCCAAGTAGCTAGGACTACAGGTGCATGCCGGCATGCTTGGCTAATTTTTCTTGTCTGTTTAGTAAAGATGAATTTCCCGCATGTTGGCCAGGCTGATCTCGAGTCCCTGATCTTAAATGATCCACCTTTCTTGGCCTCTCAAAGCGCCAAGATTACAACCGTGAACCACCACACCCAGCATATAAAGGTATTTATGACCACTAGATTTTACTTTTAAAAATGGTAAAGTTGGTAAATTATATAGTTACATTTAACCTCAATAAATATTTTTGAAAATGAAAAGAAAAGAGTGTAGGGGTTGCTGGTGATGACATCTCTCTGTGTGGGTGAGAGGCCAGGATGGGCTTCTGGGAAATGGGTAAGGTTGAGGGGCTGAGGGAACCTCTGATCTCCCCAAACTGAGCCCAGTCTCCCCTTCTCTGGGTCTGTCCTGACCGCTTTCTCCATCTGCCTGGGTGCCTGGAGCCCTGACCATGGGCCTCCATGCAGGCCATGCAAGAGGGTTTGGAGGTGCCCTGTCTGCCATCCTGCACCCTGACCCCCCCCTCACACCCAGTCTTCGTGTTCTCTCTGCATCTGTCCATGCTTCTCCCCATCATCGGCAGGAAGCTCCTCAGCTATGGCTCTAGGATCATAAGACATGGGACAGACACGGGTTTTCCTCACCTGTGACAGAAACAAGCAGTGGGTCACTTGAGTTTGACCACACGCAGGGCAGGGCACGGAAAGAGCCGAAGCATCTGTAGGTCCCTCCGTGGGTGGCAGGGCCCAGAGGAAAGTCTGCCTGGAATGTTCTGTTGACCTTGGGCACTGCACGGAGCCTACGTTCATGGGCCTCCCCTTCCCTGGACAGATGGTAGATGTCATAGGAGCTCCAGGAGCTACAGGACAAGGTCACGTTCTCTCCTGCCTGAACCGTGGGGCCCGGCTGGGCTGAGAGAGAAGGTTTCTCATATAGACCTGGAAGGAGAAGAGGCAGTTTCCTCAGGGAGGTTCTTCCTTGTCACAGCTCCCCTCATACCTGAGCTGAGAACTCACTCCCCTGCTCTATGACCTAATGCTCTCTCTCTCTCTCACCCTCCACCCCAACTCTCTTCATGTCTATTTCCTCCTTCCGCCTTCTCTGTCTCTCTAGGTCTCTGACCTCACTTCCCCACCCCTGGGTATGCTTTCCCTTTTTGGATTGTTTTATTCTCTCTGACTCTCCTTGGATTGGTTGACTTGATCTTCCTTTTTCTATAATTCTGAGTCTCTCACTTTCTGTCTTGTTCATAACTTTCTGCATATTTCTATCTATTATCTATCTATCTATTTTGTGTCTATCTACAAATTATCTGTCATCTATATCTATGTATCATTTATCTATCAATTGTCTATCTGTCTATCCATCAATCATCTATGTATTATCTGTATCTATGTATCATCTCTCTCTCTCTCTATTACCTCTCTGTCTGCCTGTCAGTCTCTATGTATCATCTATGTATCTATATATTTATATATGTGTCTTCTATCTATCTATCTTCATCATCATCATCATCATCATCTCTATGTATCATCTATCAATCATCATCTATGTATCTATAACCTATCCATTATCTATCATCTACCTATTTATCATCTATCTATATCTATCTATCCATCTATCATCTGTCTCTCTCCATCTCCTTGTCTTTCTCTGCCTCTCAGTCTCTCTAGTTCTATTTGGAATCTCTGCAATCCATCCCCACATCTTTATCTTTCTCTGTCTTTGTGCCCCTCCCTCAGGGTTCTGATTTTGGGGCTTTTCTCTCCTCCCTTCCAGCATTCTCTCCACTCCTCTGCCCTCTTTTCTTTCTTTTTGTGTGTCTGTGAGTCTCTCAATCCCCTTCCTCTGGCTCATTCTCTGTGTGTTTATGCCTTTGCTTTTTGAAGTCCCTGATTTATCTCTGTGTCTCTCAGTGATCCTATTATATGTAGGATTATTTGGAATATGAGCCTCAGAATCTAGTCTGGGGACACCAAGTACACACAGTATTTAGGGGTTGGTGTTCTGGGGCCATGATATCCTGGGATAATTATGGCTCCACTGCATGGAAGGCAGAGGTGTCAGAATAAACATGGCATCTGTAGATGCCACAAGGCCTGAGGCCACAGGGCCCAACTCAGGTCAGAAATATGGGTGTCCTTGGGTTCTCCTCGTAGAAGCACTTTGTGGAGACAAAACAGAAATGAAACTTCTAACCTGTGCCAGGTCTCTGAGCAAAGTCAGCATGGAAGGACACTTCTCTCTGGCACATGTCTGTCTGTCTGAGTGTCTCCTTTACCTCTTTCTCTCTTTTCTACTTCCCCGTATGGCCCCTGTGTCTGTCCTCTGTTATGACACCTGGTCTGTACTTATGTCTCCTGTTTCCCTGTCTCTGTTGGTACAGACCTCACCGAGTCAGTCTCTCTCCATAAGAATCCCACGCTTATCTTCCTCATGACCACCTGGGGGTTCCAAGTCCTGGATCATTCACTCTGTGTCCCAATGACAATGAGAAGAATGTCTGGACACTCTCACCTGTGATCACGATGTCCAGGGGGTCACTGGGAGCTGACAACTGATAGGGGGAGTGAGGAACAGAACCATAACATCTGTAGGTTCCTGCAAGGACAGGCATCAAGGGACCGATGGAGAAGTTGGCCTTGGAGACCCCATCATGGATCTGTCCAACGAGGCGTGAGGGGTCCTCAGAGATCCCATCTCTGTGCAGAAAGAAGTGCTCAAACATGACATCTGACCAACATTGCAGGATGACTGTCTCTCCTGATTTCAGCAGGGGCCCTGGGTGGGCCAGGAGGGAAGGTTTTCTGTGGTTTCCTAGAAAGAGAAGTTGTGAGTTTAGAAGGCATCTCTCTTTATCATCCCATCCATGGCACCTGGAATGAGTGAGGGTTCCCCTCCCAGAGGTCTGTCTCTCTCCTCCCTCTCTGTGTCTCCGTGTCTTTTCTGTGCCCATATCCCCTGGTGCAGGTCCCTCCATTTGTCTTCCTCCCTCTTCTCTGTCCCTCTGTCTCCAGTAGCCCCTGACTCCCTTCCCACTGTGAAGAGAGCCTCATCTCTTGGGCTGTTGTATCTCTTTCCCACTAGTCTCTTTCCTGCTGTCTATGTGAGGGTGGAAGAGGACAGGCTGCATGTCCAGGCTCTCAGCAGCCTGAATCAATCTCTTTTGAACAAATTGGAGTCTCTGGCAGAGGTATCAACTCATCAGTAAGGCAGACATCAGTGTCCACACACCCTGTTCCTGATGGGGATTGGGAGCCTCTCCTGCCATGTCTGTGCCTTCTCCATGGCCCCAGCTTCCATAGGGTGGTCCCTGGTGCTGGTTCCAGGAGCATCAACCCCTTCCTATGTGGATGGAGCCTGGTGGTGGCATCAGCATCCCACCCTTGCTGATCCCACGGTAGCCAACCTTCTCCTTGTTTGGTTTCTTTAATTAATTGATTAATTAATTTATTTTTGAGACAGTCACTTTTTCACCCAGGCTGGAGTGCAGTGGTGTTGTCTTGGCTCACTGCAACCTCTGCCTCCCCGGTTCAAGTGATTCTCTTGCCTCAGCCTCCCCAGTCGTTGGATTACTCGTGCCCACCACCACACCTGGCTATCCTTGTTTGGTTTCCTAGCTTGTCCTTGACCTGGGTTCCTGTGTCGGTTTCCTGTTGCTGCTGCAGAAAATTATCACAAACATGGCAGCAGGAGAGAACACACTGACCCCTTCCACTTCTGGGGACAGAAATTGGATCCAGTTCTCCCTGTGCTGAAATCAAGGCATCTGCAGGGCTGCGTTCCCTCTGGAGACTCAGCGAATCAGTTCTCTTGACTTCTCCAGCCCTTAGAGGCCACCTGCATTCTGTGACTAGTGGCCTTCCTCCACCTTCAAAGCCCACAGTGGCTGATAGCGTCTCCCTCCCACTACACTGCTCTAATCCCCACTCCCCTCTTCCTCCACCTCTCACGCGGACCCTTGTGATTACACTGAGCCCAGCAGGACAGTCCAGGCTGTCTCCCCATCTCAAGGTCAACTCATCAACAACCTGAGCTCCACCTTCCCCTTCAGTCCCCTGCCCTATAACATAAATAGTCACAGGCTCCAGGGTTTACAATGTAGCCATCATTGGCGACAGTTATTCTTCCCACCACAGCGCCCATTTCCCCTGTATTCAATCTCCCTTGACCCCAAATACAGTTGGGGCCTGGGTGATGGGACCCTGATGGACACCCCCACCAGAAGCTCTGGGATTCAGGAGGTGGGACAGTGAGAAGCCCAGACAGAAAGCCTCTGACCTGTGACCATGATCACCAGGGGGTTGCTGGGTGCCGACCACCCAGTGAGGGAGTGTGGGCGTGAACCCCGACATCTGTAGGTCCCTGCATGTGCTGGGGTCACAGGGCCCATGATGAAGCTCTCCTGGAATATTCTGCCGTGGAAGATGGGAACGTGGCTTCTGTCTTCTTTGTACAGCATGAAATTGTTAAACCCACGACGATAGTGACACTGAAGAGCCACGTGTCCTCCTCGAGGCACCACAGTGCTGGGCCGGGCAGACAGGAAGGGTTTGTCCTGACCACCTGGGGGAGAAGGAGGCACTGCCTTAGAGAGGAGGATGTGGAGCCACCCCTCCCTCCCTGTGCTCAGAAGATTCTCCCATTTCCGCTTTCTAAGGCTCCTACCACACCTGGGTGCCCAGGGCTACAGGAAGGACCCACCCCACATAGACATGGCGTCTCCCTACAACAAGTGTCAGCTGAGAACTTTGAGCAAGTGCTGAATAAGTGACTCTTACTAGATTTTAATACTGCAAAATTACTCACATAAAACAACACAAAGTAGACACGGCATGGAGGGCATGTCCTATGTGAATGGAATATCAGCCAATTCATGAACTGAGCCCCCTCAGAGGATTTGGAATGTCAGGGCCATGGCTGTGGTTTCCCCCCTCTTCTGGTAGAAAGACCGCAGCCACACTGCAGCCCCTACCGTCACGGAAACGCTGGAGGGTGTCAGTTATACCTTTGTCCTCAGAGGACCTGCTGTTCCTAGCACTGCTTCCCTCTCTTTCTCTGCTGCTGACACCACTTCCTCCCTGCACACCCCAGCTTGGAGCACCCCAGTCTCACCCCAGTCTTCACAGAGCTTGACTCAGGAAAGGGAAAGAAAGGCCGGGGAGGGCGAGGTCAGAAATGTGGGCCGAGTATCCAAGGGTCCCCTCTTCCTAGTTTATGAGAGACTCCCCGACAGGACTTCCCTCCTGTTTCAGAAAAATCCTCTTATGTGGGGAGATGACACCCTAAGGTTTGGGGAAGGACTCACCCATGAGTGGCCAGGCCCCCTGCAGCAAGAAGAACCCTGGAAAGAAAGATCATGATAGACGATCCAACTGCAGGCAAACCAGGGCACCCTGCTGCCCCCACTGCACTGTGTGTCTTGGCAGCCAGGCCCTTGCTGGGCTGAAGGTAAACTTAGCCTCCCTGCTACCTGCTGCCAAGAACAGGGCTCTCAGCTGTGGAGAGACCCAGGCTCCAGGCCCAGATCAACACTTCCTGGCCCAGATCTCCACTCCAGGCCCATATCTCCACTCCAGGCCCCTATCTCCACTCCAGGCCCCTATCTCCACTCCAGGCCCATATCTCCACATCAGACCCATATCTCCACTCCAGGCCCAGATCTCCCCTCTAGGCCCATATCTCCACTCCAGGCCCATATCTCCACTCCAGGCCCATATCTCCACATCAGACCCATATCTCCACTCCAGGCCCAGATCTCCACCTGCAGGCCCATATCTCCACTCCAGGCCCATATCTCCACTCCAGGCCCGTATCTCCACTCCAGGCCCATATCTCCACACCCAGGCCCATATCTCCCCTCCAGGCCCATATCTGCACTCCAGGCCCATATTTACACCTCCAGGCCCATATCTCCACACCCAGGCCCATATCTCCACTCCAGGCCCATATCTCCACTCCAGGCCCATATCTTTACCTCTAGGCCGAGATCTCCATCCCCACTCTCCCTCCCTCTATTCCCTTCCAGGACTCACCAACGCACGCCATGCTGACGACAGTGAGCGACATGGTGCTGCCGGTGCAGACAGGAGGCCGCGCCCCAGCTCAGCTCAGCAGCGCACAGGATGTTATTTGGCGCCCTGCCCATGCAGTTTACATGTTGACCACATCATGGGAGGGTGACGTACGCAGGCTCTTTCTACCTTGCATGAGGCCCAGTGGGTGCTCGCTCAAGAGCGGAACATGGCTTCCTGGAAATTGTTGTGACTACAATTGCCACCTTGCATCCTTCACTATGACCAGACTCAAAAGACGTCTCAGATCCAACCTCTCACACATGAGGTGATTGAATTCTGTGCTTACATTAAAGACTTTTGATGTATTTTTGTTTTTATCTGAGATTCAAACTTTTCTTCATGTGTAATGTGCAAAATATCTAAGAGGTATTATTAACATTATCAGAGTAATTGTGACAAAAAGCCATTCTAATTTTCCTGATGAGTTTCTAGTACTAAACCTGAGGCACGAGAATTGCTTGAACCTGGGAGGCGGAGGCTGCAGTGAGCTGAGCTCAAGCCACTGAACTCCAGCTTGGGTGACAGAGGAAGAGTCTGTCTCAAGAAAGAAAAAAAAAAGCAAACTAAATAACCTATAATAACAAATCAGAGAACTCAGGTTACCAAATTTTAAGGGGTTCTATAAGTTTATATGAAATGCAGCATCCTCATGAGAGGGGATACAGAGAACCACTGGGCAGAAAACTGTGTCTAAAATACATCTGTGGATACACAGTCCCTTTATAGTTGACAAAGGCTGCCATGTAGTTTAAGGTGGAATAGAATATTTTCTCAATAAATAACACAGGACCATAGGGTTACACGTAGGAAAAAATAAATCTAAACTTATCCTCACACTATAAAAACACTTCTTATTTTTTATCTTGTTGTTGTAAACTTTTTATGCTTTATTTTTAAGATTGACAAATAAAAATTATATACTGTGGTCCTTCACTATTCCTGGGTGATTGGTTCCAGGATCCCCATTCAGATACCAAAATCTGCAGATGCTCAAGCCCCTTGCATGAAATGGCATAGCGAAGCTGGGCACCGTGGCTCACGCCTGTAATCCCAGCACTTTGGGAGGCTGAGTTGGGTAGATCACGAGGTCAGGAGTTCAAGACCAGCTGGTCCAACATTCTGAAACCCCGTCTCTACTAAAAATACACACACAAAAAAATTTATCTGTGCATGGTGGCACGTGCCTGTAATCCTAGGGGAGGCTACTGGGGAGGCTGAGGGAAGACAATCGCTTGAACCTGGGAGGCAGAGGTTGCAGTGAGCTGAGATCATGCCACTGCACTCCAGCCTGGGTGAGAGAGTGAGACTGTCTCAAAAAAAAAAAAAAATAGCATAGCAATTGCATAGAACCCATGCACATCCTCCTGTATACATGAAATCATCTCTTGATTACTTATAATTCCTGACACAGCCTACACGCCACTCAATTTGTGTCGATTCAACATAGTTTTTTGCTTCTTGAAACTTCGGGGATTTTTTTCTGAAAATATTTTTGATTTATTGTTGGTTCAATAAACACCTGTAAACCCCACAGATATGGAGGACCGACTGTATATTTATATTATGAAAGATGATATGTTGATATGTGTCCCCGTGGAGATGAGACTAACAAGGCCTATGTCTCTACAAATGTTTCATCGTGGAATGACTCTGCCAGCTTTCCAGGTCTGCAGAGAGTAAGAATATCACTTGTTCATGTGATTCACGATCCTTGGAGCCTCCTATGTGCTGTATCTTTGGATGGAAATTGGAGTCTCAGAGACAAATCAGGCTACATTCTGCTTCCAGAAGCTCAGAGTCCAGGGCTGAGAACCCAATGGAGAACAGATGGGGTTATGTGGACATGGTAATGATAACACCGGAAGCCTTAGGCAAGAAAAGAGTCTCGTTACCGAAACCATGAGGGCAGACATGTTTATTTGAAGGCGGGAAAACTACATTGAAATTATTTAAAAAATTTATAAGTTTTACTGCTGGCAGAAGGCTGAAAGATAGTCTGAAGGGAGGTGGAACAGCACGTGTCTAAGTGCTGTGTTAAGAGGCAGCCTCTTGTATGTTTGGAATTGTGAGTTCCTCAGTGTGATTGCAGCCTCAGGTAGACTAGGAAGTAAGCCAGTTAGGTTGGAGAGGTGGGCAGGGGTCAAGTGAAATGGAGAATTGTGGGCTAAGCAAAGGAGTGTGTTTTCTCTCCAGCAGGCAGTGGGGACCTTAGACATTTGTAAGCAAGAGAGAGGCATGTTCAGATTCGTGGTGTGAGGAAGAGCGATGCCCTAAGATGAAGACTGATGCCTTCAGATTCCAGCTGCTGGTACATGGGAGCTGGCAACCCGGTTTTGAGACAGGGCTGTTGTCTCCCTAGAAGATCCCCTCAAGGCCTGACTGTGGTGCTCGTGGACAGAAGACAACTTTGGATCTGGGCTCAGCATTTGGAAGTTCTATGTACATGCTGGTATCTGTTGGGGGTGTCTTGGGCCTCTCAGAAGGGCGAGTGATTTTTCTCTGTGTGAAAACACAGTGATCCAATTATGCGTATGACACCTCCTGATGGTCTTGTTCATCAGAATCCTGGAGAGAGGGAAATGCTGAGTGAGGGAGGGTGCTCACATTTTTCAGGACTCTTTGGGAATAAGACTAGCCACGAGGCTGGGCCGAGGAGCACCTACCTCGCTGTTCACTGTTCTGTTCCCTGCAGGCTCTTGGTCCATTACAGCAGCATCTGTAGAAGACGGAAGTCAACAAAAGAGCTCGGAGGGCACTTCTGGGTCCTCATTTCATAAGCAGATACCAACAAACAGGGGGAGGCCATAGGTGCCTGAGGTCCCTCAGTTGCCAACAGCAGACTCAGACATTCTATCTCTCTGAGTTCAAGGACCCATCCCATGAATAGCTCTGAGTTCCCATCCCATTGATTCTATCTCCCACTTTCTGCCTGTCATGGAACCTTCTCCTGGATGTGAGTGGCTGCAGGGGACGTGAGGATACAGTTCAGAATCAGGCAATGGTCTGTGAGCTGAAGGCAGGGGAAGGGAATCTGGTGCTCTCTCTAGAAAGTCCTGCCTCTGTGGCTCCTGTCTTGGGCCAGGGACCATCCTGCTGGTGAGGAACACACATCCGCGTGCTCCCATCCTGCTTCCCCACATGGCCCTGAGCTCTCTGGCCTCTGCTTCGTGAGACTTACTTTTTTTGTCGGAGCACCAGCGATGAAGGAGAAAGAAGAGGAGGATGGTGAAAGGGATTTTGACCACTGAGGTCCCAATCAGAACATGTAGGTGTCTGGGGTTACCTGGAAGAAGAGGAGACACCAATAAGAAGCTAATCATAGCAGTTCCTCTTTATGAATTGTCTCGCATTTCTTGATTGGCAGGTAACCACATACAACGTCTCTTTAGGACAAGCACCCAAATGGCGGGAGACCTAGCTTTCCCCTGCTTTCTCAATTATAGCTCTCATAGTAACCATAGAACGTGCTGAGGATACAACTACTTTAGTTGAGATGTTTGACCCTTTCAAACCTCACATTGAAATTTCACCCCCATTGTGGGAGGTTGGGCCTCTTCAGAGGTGTTTGGGTCATGGAGGTGGATCCATCATGAACAGATCAATGCTGTCCCAAGGAGACGGGGTTAGCAAGTTCCCCCTCTGTTAGTTCCTGGAGAGCTGGTTGTTAAAAAGAGCTTGGAAGCTCCATCGCTCCCTCTCCCCCTTACTCTCTCTCTTGCCGTGTGATCTCTGCGGTCTCTGCACAGACAGACCCTCCTTCCCTTCTGCCAGAGTGGGAGCAGCCTGAGGCCGTCAAGAGAAATAGATTCTGGTGCCATGCTTCCAGTACAGCCTGCAGAACTGTGAGGCAAACCAATCTCTTTTCTTTAGAAGTTACCCAGGCTCAAGTGTTCCTTTAGAGCAACAAAAATGGACTAAGATAGCAACATCCTGAGATCAGGAGGAATGTCTCAGAACAGCCTGGGCTGTCTTCCTGTTCTTCCTGGAGGAGGACGTCATGCAGTGCTTTAGCTGAGTGCTTCCTGTGGCTCCAGGGTACAAAACCCAGGCTGGGCTGCTTTCTGGCTTCCCCCAGTTACACTGCAAATGGGGTGACTCCATATGTCCCGAGCAGCTTTTCTGAGCCTTGAGGGACTGGCTCACATTGAAATGCAGGCTTCTGTTGTCACTCGCTGCTTATCTGTTAGTAATGAACCTGCCTATGTAACGTATCCTCTGTGTGTTCTGTCTCCCTGGAGTGACGGTGAGTGATAGGAATTGGCATAGGCCCAGGTGCAGTCCAGGATTTGTTTAGAGTCTTCTCTGGGAAGACTGCACTGGGATTGATACACAGCGAATGTGCTTTAGGATTTCTACATCCACAGCATTCTTGAGTCAAACAAATTGCATTCACCAAGGAAAGGAAACAAAGGTGAAATCACGATTAAAAATAGCGAAGCAAGATTCTCTTATGTCAAACAGCCAGAAAATAGTGTTGAAGCCCGTGTGAAATGTGCTGCTCTTTGTGATCTCGGGAGACACATGTTAGGCTGCTGTTCTACCCGAGAGGCTGGGGGAAGGACCACCCCCTCCACCATCTATTGCTTCAATACCACCTGTCCTCCTGTGAATTAGTAGGAAAGGGGAACAGGAGCTAGTGCTGTCGCTGATCTCTGATTCCAAGATCTGGACTCACTCCAAGGAATATTAATGTTTCCTCCCCATGGTCTATCTGAATCTCCACAGGTGATTGGAAGTAGGGGTGAGGTGGGCGATTTGGGTGAGTGGGCAAGTTTTTTTTTGCGATGACCAGAGCACTTTCTCTATTCCAGGATCCGTGCTGGAGGATTCAGCGGGCTTTCACATTTTCTATGTGATCTCATGCTCACAGAAAGCCAAATAGGGAAGAGGTTTTAGGCTGATTGCCTAATGGATAAGATAAAGGATCAAAGAAGTAATTATAGAGAAATAGAAAAATGATGATTGGAATTCAGGTGCCTTTGTCATTCGTGTGTGTTTTATTATATTTATGCATTTCTTATTTTTATTTTTTGAGACGGAGTCTCCTTGTGTCACCCAGGCTGGAGTGCAGTGATGCAATCTCCACTCACTGCAACCTCCACCTCCTGGGTTGAAGTCATTCTCCTGCTTCATCCTCCAGAGTAGGAGCTGGGATTACAGGGATGCACCACCATGCTCGGCTAATTTTTGTATTTTTAGTACAGATAGGGTTTCACCATGTTGGCCAGGCTGGTCTGGAACTCCTGACTTCATGGAATCCACCCGCCTTGGCCTCCTGCAGGGCTGGGTTACAAGCATGAGCCACCGTTCACAGACTTGTATATTATGCTATAATAGGTCCCTTCATTTCCACCACCCCTCATATATCTGTCACTCCTTTGCCAGGTATTGATTTATGTGTAGGATGAATAAATCTCAGAAAGAAATTAATTAAGCGAGGATTAAACAAGTAGGAAAATCAAACCCAGCAAGCCTTTCCAGCCAATGATTCTACCTCACAAGCATATCTTATATCCATCTACTTCATTCATTTAGTGTCTAAATCAGCACCACATTTCACCAGTGGGGCGGCAATTGCCTTTTCCACAGTCTCCTAGATTCCAGTTACGCACCTGGGCCTCCCTTATTTTCTTGTCAGTCACTATTAATCATGTAGGGATTCCTGGTTACCCCGAGGTGAATCCAATGGCTGTGAGTGTCAAACACACACTCCTTGTTCCTCCTTAGTTTCCTGTGTACCCAGAGTGCTCTCCATCTCTCTACAGTCATCTTGTCATTCTCCCCACCTCATTCCCAGCATTTCAGGCAGAGCCTCTTCCTTCAACATCAGATTGTTTTCACCTTTGTGCCTTCACAGCTGACAGCTGTGTGTGGAAAATCCTTCCGCCAATCTTTCAGGGGTTCAATCCGTGTTTTTCATTAATGTCACAAATATCTGATTAGTGAGACCTTCTCTGTCACCCAAAATTATACACTCAGCATTATCTATTATTTATTTTGAATTCTGGCTGGGCAAAGTGGCTCACGCCTGTAATCCCAGTACTTTGGGTTGCTGAGATGGTCGGATCACTTGAGGTTGGGAGTTTCAGACAAGCTTGGCCAACATGGTGAAACATCCTCTCTACAAAAAATATACAAAAAGAATTAGCCGGGCATGGTGGCAGTTGCCTGTAATCCCAGCTACTCGAGAGGGTGAGGCAGGAGAATCACTTGGATCCAGGAGACGCAGGTTGCAGTGAGCCAAGATCGTGACACTGCACTGTAGCCTGGAAGACAGAGGGAGACTCTGTCTCAATAAACAAACGAACAAACAAACAAATAGATTTCATGCACAGATGCTTCCCAATGGATCATTCATTTATTGGTCCACTTGTGCATTCATTTTCTGTCCTCCCATTTAACCATCTGCAATATCAGTGTCCCAAGAGCAGAGGCCAAATGCATCTTGTTCACCATTTGTGGAAGGCAGGAGAATGCTGTCCCACCCCAAAATGTCCCTGTCCTAGCCTCCATAGCTTGTGAATATGTTATTTTACATGGAAAGGAGGAATGAAGATTGCAGATGGAATTATGGTTGCTAATCAGCTGAACTTAAAACAAGGGTATCCTGAATGATTTCCGGGAGATTATGACGGATTTTCATCTTGGTGAACCCAATAGAATCCCCAAGTTTTCAAAAGATGAGGAAGAAGGGAGAGCAGCATTCAGAGAAAGAGGTGTGGTAAGGAAGAAGGGTCTGAGTGATGCCATGTGAGATGTGACCAGTCTTTGTGGGTTTTGAGGAAGGAGGAAAGGGACCAGCAGCCAAGGAACTGGGAGCCTTTATAAGATGGGACAAGTGAGAAGCAGATTCTTGCCTGGAATCCTCAGAGGGAAGGCAGGCTTGCTGTCATCTTGATTTTAGCCCAGTGAGATGCACTTCATGCTTTGAGCTAGAGCACTGTAAGATAATTAAATAACCGTTTTGTTTTCACCCACGAATCTTGTGGAAATTTGTTATGGCAACAATAGGAAAAGCTTCCACACTGCACAACCTGAGCATGGGGCCGTGGCTGAATAAGTCAGTGAGTCAAAGTGTGCGTGCATGAGCTCTGTTCTCTGTTACGGCAAGGCTCTTGCTCTGCTGAGTCAGCCAGGGTTGTTTCATGACCAACAGGAGCTCATTCCTTGGCAAGTGGAACTTCTCTAAAACACCTCGCCCTCATCAGATGTTCGCTTCCCTTCCCTCTCTCAAGCCCCCAGGAATTTATCCTCCAGTTAGGAATGCAAGCAGAACAAACATTGCGTTTTTCCTGAGAAGGATGTCAGATTGGCAATCATTCTTCTAGCTTGTAGGAGGTCTCAGCTCCATAAAATGAGAGATGAAGAGATTTCACTGAGCCCTGTGTTGGGCCCAGATCCCTTTCGCTGTTGGAGTATCTGGAGTTCGGAGATGGTAGAAGACAGGCGTACAATGTCAGAGCTGTGAGATGCTGAGTCAACGCCTGAATCCAAGGTTTCCACCTCCCCAGGGTTCCAAAAGCGGATATAAGAGGGTCCTGTACTCACCGGTTTTGGAGCTTGGTTCAGTGGGTGAAGGCCAACTATTTGAAGGGTTTCCTAGAACATGAGACAGGAGAGAGGTGAGGAAATGAGGGTGTCTGTCCTCTACTCAGTGGAAATCTTTGAGTTTGGTTCATGGCCAACACTCTGTTATCTAACATTGGGCCCTGGGAGTCCAGGGATCCTTTCTTCCATAATTTTTGTATGTGACGCCCACTGTCTTGAGACTTCAAGGTATAAAGAGAAAACAGGAGCATCACACTACCTGATCTCAAAATATGTTACAGAGCTGTAGTAAGCAAAACAGCATGATGTTGGCATGAAGAAAGGCACATAGAACAACGGAGCAGAATGAAGAACACAGATATAATCCATGCATTTACATCCAATTTTTTTTATTTTTTCTTTTGAGATGGAGTCTTGCTCTGTCACCCAGGCTGGAGTGCAGAGGTGCAATCTCGGTTCACTGCAACCTCAGCCTCCTGGGTTCAATCAATTCTCTTGCCTCAAACTCCTGAGTAGTAGTATTACAGGTGCTGACCACCATGCTCAGCTAATTTTTATATTTTTAGTGGAGACGATGTTTCATCACGTCGGCCAGAGTAATCTTGTACTCCTGTCCTCAGGTGATCCACCAGCCTTGGCCTCCCAAAGTGCTGAAGTTGCTGGTGTTAGCCACCATGCCCAGCCCATCCAATGGACTTTGACAAAGGTGCCAAGAACTCACAATCAGGAAAGGACAGTTTTTTCAATAAACAGTGCAGGGAAACCTGGACATCTACATGCAGAGGAATGAAACTGCACCTCTACCTGTCACCATACACAAAAATCAAATGAAAGTGGATTAAAGATGTGAGTCTAAGGCCTGAACCTGTGAAACACGTAGAAGAAAATATTGGGGAAATGCTCCAGTACATTTGTCTGAAGGAAGACATTTTGTTTTAAACCTTCAAAACACAAGTAATCGAAGCAAAAATAGACCATTGGGATTACCTCAAACTAAGCAACTTCTGCACCGCTAAAAATAAACCAACAAAGTGAAGAGACAACCCACAGATTGGGAGCAAATATGTGCAAACTATGCATCTGAGACGGGATTAATAACTAGAAGTATAAGAAGCTCAAACAACTCAATAAAACAAATGATTTAATTGAAAAAGGAGCAAAAGACATGAAATTTCCCCACATACGAAAAAGTGCTCAGTATCACTCATCATCAGAGAAACGCGAATTAAAATCAAAGTGAGTTTTCATCTCACCCCATTAAAATGGCTTTTAGGCCGGGCGAGGTGGCTCACGTCTGTCATCCTAGAACTCTGAGAGCCCGAGGTGGGCGAATCTCATAAGGTCGGGAGTTTGAGACCAGTCTGACCCACATGGAGAAACGCTGTCTCTACTAAAAATACAAAAATTAGTCGGGCGTGGTGGTGTGTGCCTGTAATTCCAGCTACTCGGGAGGCTGAGGCAGGAGAATCGCTTGAACCTGGGAGGTGGAGGTTGCGGTGAGCCGAGATCGCACCACTGCACTCCAGCCTGGGTGACAAGAGCGAAACTCCATCTCAAAATAAAATGAAATAAAATAAAATGGCTTTTAGCTGCAAGACAGGCAAAACAAATGCTGGCAAGGTGGTAGAGAAAGGAGAACCCTGGTACCCTGTTGGTAGGAGTGTAAATTAGTACAGCCATTACGGAGAAAAGTATGGAAGTCCTTTAAAGAACTAAAAAGAGGTTGGATGAAGTGGATCATGCCTGTAATCCCGGCACTTTGGGAGACCGAGGCGGGCACCTCAGTTGAGGTCATGAGTTTGAGAGCAGCCTAGCCAACCTGGGGAAACCCCATGTACACTAAAAAAAACCAAAAAGTATCCCGGCATGGTGGCGTGCACCTGTAATCCCAGCTACTAGGGAGGCTGAGGCAGGAAAATCATTTGAACCCAGGAGGCGGAGGTTGCAATGAGCCAAGATCACATCACTTGTACTCCAGCCTGGGCACAGAGGGAAACTGTCTCAAAAACAAAAACAAAACAACAAACGAAAAACTAAAAAGAGAACTTTCATAGTATCCAGCAATTTCACTACTGGGTTTATATCCAAAGGAAAGTAAATCAATGTATCGAAGTGATATCTGCACTCGTATGATTGGTGCAGCACTCTTCACAGTAGCCAAGATGTGGAGTCAACCTACCTGCCCATCAGTGGATGAATGGATAGAGAGAATGTAGTACATACGCACAGCGGAGACTACTCATCCATAGAAAGAATAACATCCTGATATTTGCAGCCACATGGATGGAACTGGAAGTCATTACAAATATTCTCATTTCTCACCCATATACAGGAGCTAAAAGGTGGATCTCATGAAGATAGAGAGTAGAATGGTGGCTACCAGAGGCCAGGAAGAAAAGGGTGGAGGATAAAACAAACAAACAAAAAATTTATATGTATGTATTTATGACCACTAGACCTTACACTTAAAATTGGTAAACGTGGCCGGGCGCGGTGGCTCATGCCTGTAATCCCAGCACTTTGGGAGCCTGAGGCGGGTGGATCACGTGGTCAGGAGTTCCAGAGCAGCTCGACCAACATGGTGAAACCCCCTCTCTACTAAATATACAAAAAGTAGCCCGGCGTGGTGATGGGCGCCTGTAGTACCAGCTACTCAGGTGGCTGAGGCAGGAGAATCGCTTGAACCCAGGAGGCGGAGGTTACAGTGAGCTGAGATTGTGCCACTGCATTCCAGCATAGGAGACAGAGCTAGACTCCACCTCAAAAAAAAAAAAATGTTAAAAGTGGTAAGCTATATAGGTATATTTAACCTCAATGAATATTTTTTCAAACAAAAAGAAAAGGATGTAGGGGTTGCTGGTGATGACATCTCTGTGTGGGTGAGAGGCCAGGAAGGGCTTCTGGGAAATGGGTAAGGTTGAGGGGCTGAGGGAACCTCTGATCTCCCCAAACTGAGCCCAGTCTCCCCTTCTCTGGGTCTCTCCTGACCGCTTTCTACATCTGCCTGGGTTTCTGGAGCCCTAATCGGAGGCCTCCATGCAGGCCATGCAGGAGGGTTTGGAGGTGCTGTGTGTGCCATCCTGCGCCCTGATCCCTCCCTCACAGGCATGCTGCGTCTTCTCTCTGCATCTGTCCATGCTTCTCTCCATCATCAGCAGGAAGCTCCTCAGCTAAGGCTCTAGGATCATAGGACATGGGACAGATATGGGGTTTCCTCACCTGTGACGGAAACAAGCAGTGGATCACTCGAGTTTGACCACTCGTAGGGAGCGTCACGGAAAGAGCCGAAGCATCTGTAGGTCCCTCCGTGGGTGGCAGGGCCCAGAGGAAAGTCGGCCTGGAATGTTCCGTTGATGCTGCGCACTGCAGGGAGCCTACGTTCATGGGCCTCCCCTTCCCTGGATAGATGGTACATGTCATAGGAGCTCCGGGAGCTGCAGGACAAGGTCACATTCTCTCCTGCCTGAACCGTGGGGCCCGGCTGGGCTGAGAGAGAAGGTTTCTCATATAGACCTGGAAGGAGAAGGGGCAGTTTCCTCAGGGGGGATCTTCCTTGTCACAGCTCCCCTCACACCTGACCTGAGAACTCACTCCCCTGCTCTATGGCCTAATGCTCTCTTTCTCTGTCTCACCCTCCACCCTATCTCTCTTCATGTCTATTTCCTCCTTCCACCTTCTCTGTCTCTGTAGGTCTCTGACCTCACTTCCCTACCTCTAGTTATGTTTTCCTTTTTTGGATTGTTTTATTCTCTCTGGCTCTCCTTGGATTGGTTGACTTGATGTTACTTTTTTTAACTCTGAGTTTCTCAGTTTGTGTCCCGTTCATAACTTTCTGCATATTTCTATCTATTATCTATCAATCCATCTATTTATCTATTCGGTGCCTATCTACAAATTCTCTACCTGTCATCTATATCTATATATCATCTATTTATCTATCAATTGTCTATCCGTCAATCATCTATTATCTATATATATGTATCATCTCTCTCTCTCTATTATTTCTCTCTTTGTCTTCCTCTCTATCTCTATGTATTATCTATCCATCTATCTTCATCATCATCATCTCTATGTATCATCTATTAATGAATCAATCAATCATCATCTATGTATCTATAACCTATTATCTATCATCTACCTATATATCATCTATCTATATCTATCCATCATCTATCTGTATCTATCCATCTATCATCTGTCTTGCTCTGCCTCTCGGTCTCTCTAGTTCTCTTTGGAATCTCTGCAATTCATCCCCACATCTCCATCTTTCTATGCCCTTGTGCCTCGCCCTCAGGACTCTAATTTTAGTGGTTTTCTCTGCTCTCTTCCATCATTCTCTCCACTTCTCTGCCCTCTTCTCTCTCTTTATGTGTCTGTGAGTCTCTCAATCTCCTTCCTCTGGCTCTTTCTCTGTGTGTTTATGTCTTTGCTTTTTGGTGTCCCTGATTTCTCTCTGTGCTTCTCAGTGATCCTCTCATATGTGATATGTGGGGTTATTTGGAATGTGAGCCTCAGAATCCAGTCTGGAGACCACAAGTTCACACAGCATACAGGGGTTGGTGTTCTGGGGCCATGATATTTTGGGACGATTATTCTCCATTGCATGGAAGTCAGAGGTGTCAGAATAAGCATGGCATCTGTAGGTGCCACAAGGCCTGAGGCCACAGGGCCCAACTCAGGTCAGAAATATGGGTGTCCTTGGGTTCTCCTGGTAGAGAACACTTTGTGGAGGTAAAACAGAAATGAAACTTCTAACCTGTGCCAGGTCTCTGAGCAAAGTCAGCATGGAAGGACACCTCTGTCTGGGACATGTCTGTCTGTCTCCTTTAACTCTTTCTGTCTTTTCTAACTCCCGGTATGGCCCCTGTGTTTGTCCTCTGTTATGACACCTGGTCTGTACTTGTGTCTCTTGTTTCTCTGTCTCTGTTGGCACAGACCTCACCAAGTCAGTCTCTCTCCATAAGAATACCAAGCTCATCTTCCTTACAACCACCTGGGTCTCCAAGTCCTGGATCATTCACTCTGCATCCCAATGACAATGAGAAGAATGTCTGGACACTCTCACCTATGATCACCATGTCCAGAGGGTCACTGGGAGCTGACAACTGATAGGGGGAGTGAGGAACAGAACCGTAGCATCTGTAGGTTCCTGCAAGGACAGGCATCATGGGACCAATGGAGAAGTTGGCCTTGGAAACCCCATCATGGTGCTCTCCAATGAGGTGCAAAGTGTTGTTAAACTTCCCCTCTCTGTGCAGAAGGAAGTGCTCAAACATGACATCCGACCAACATTGCAGGATGACTGTCTCTTCTGATTTCACCAGGTGACCTGGGAGGGCCAGGAAGGAAGGTTTTCTGTGGACTCCTAGGAAGAGAGGTTGTGAGTTTAGAAGGTGTCTCTCTTTATCATCCCATCCATGGCACCTGGAATGAGTGAGACTTCCCTTCGCTGGTGTCTGTCTCTCTGCTTCCTCTCTGTGTCTTCATGTTCTTTTCTGTGCCCATAACTCCTGGTGCAGGTCCTTCCATCTGTCTCCCTCCCTCTTCTCTGTCCCTCTGTCTCTAGTAGCTGTGATTCCCTTCCCACTGGGCTCAGCCTCATCTCTTGGGCTGTTGTATCTATTTCACACTAATGTCTTTCTTACTGTCTATGTGGGAGTGGAAGAGGAAGCAGGATAGGCTGCACGTCCCGGCTCTTAGCAGCCTGGTTCAATCTCTTTTGGACGAATTGGAATCCTTGGCAGGAGGTATGAACTGATCAGTAAGGCAGGCACCAGTGTCCACACACCCTGTTCCTGGTGGGGACTGGGAGCCACTCTTGCCATGTCTGTGCCTTCTCCATGGTGCCAGTTTCCATAGGCTGGCTCCTCGTGCTGATTTGAGGAGTATCAACCCCTCCCTATGTGGATGGAGCCTGGTGGTGGCATCATCATCCCACCCTTGCTGATCTCGGTGTAGCCAACCTTCTCTTTGTTTGGTTTCTTTAATTAATTAATTAATTTTGGAGACAGAGTCTCACTCCTTCACCCAGGCTGGAGTGAAGTGGTGTGGTCTACGCTCACTGCAACCTCTGTCTCCTGGGTTCAAGCGATTCTCCTGCTCTCAGCCTCCCGAGTCGCTAGGATTACATGCACCTGCCACCATGCCTGGCTATCCTTGTGTCTTTTCTTAACTTGTCCTTGACCTGGGTTCCAGTGTTGGTTTCCTGTTGCTGCTGTAGAAAATTATCAGAAGCATGGCAGCAGGAGAGAGCACACTGACCCCCTCCGATTCTGGAGACAGAAAGCGGACCCTGTTTTTCGAGGGCTAAAATCAAGGCATCTGCAGGGCTGTGTTCCCTCTGGAGACTCAGGAGAATCAGTTACTTGACTTTCCCAGCCTCTATAGGCCACCTGCATTCATGGCTTATGGCCTTCATCCACCTTCAAAGCTAATGGAGTCTCCCACTACGCTGCTCTAATCCCCACTCTCCTCTTCCTCCTCCTTTCATGTGGACACTTGTGATTATATTGAGCCCACCGGGACAGTCCAGGCTGTCTCCCCATCTCAAGGTCAACTCATCAACAACCTGAGCTCCATCTTCCCCTTCAGTCCCTTCCCCTATAACATAAATAGTCACAGACTCCAGGGATTAGAATGCAGTCATCACTGGGGACACTTATTCTTCCCACCACAGCACCCATTTCCCTGTATTCAATCCCCCTTTACCCCAAATACAGTTAGGGCCTGCGTGATGGGACCCTCAAGGACATGCCTACCAGAAGCTCTGGGATTCAGGAGGTGGGACAAGGAGAATCCCAGACAGGAGCCCTCTGACCTGTGACCATGATCACCAGGGGGTTGCTGGGTGCCGACCACCCACTGGGGGAGTGTGTGTGTGAACCCCGGCATCTATAGGTCCCTGCATGTGACGGGGTCACAGGGCCCATGAAAAGGCTTTTCCAGAATATTCTGTTGTACAGCTCAGGGACAGGCACCCCATCATCCTTGTACAGACTGAAGTTGTTAAACCCAAGATTAGAGTGACACTGAAGAGTCACATGTTCTGGAGGCACCACAAGGCTGGGCCAGGTAGAAAGCAAGGGCTTGTCCTGACCACCTTGGGGTGAAGGAGGCGCCGCCTTAGAGAGGAGGATGTGGAGCTGTGCCTCCCTCCCTGTGCTCAGAAGATTCTCCCCACTTTCCACATTTCTATGGCTGCTATCACACCTTGGTGCCTAGGGCTAAAGGAAGGACCCATCCCACAAAGACAAGGTGTCTCCGTACAACAAAAGTGTCAGCTGAGAACTTTGAGCAAGTGCTGAGTAAGAGACTCCTACTAGATTTTAATACTGTAAGATTACTGACATAAAACAACACAGGGTAGACATGAAGTGGAGGGCATGTCCTTTGAGAATGGAATATCAGCAGTTGCCTGAATGAAAATAAAAAACTTAGCCCCCATCAGAGGATTTGGAATGTCAGGGCCATGGCTGTGGTTTCCCACCTCTTCTGGTAGAATGACAGCAGCCACACTGCAGCCCCTACCGTCATGGAAACGCTGAAGTGTGTGAGTAACACCTTTGTCCTCAGAGGATCTGCTGTTCCTACCACTTCCCCACCACACAACCCAGCTTTGAACACCCTAGTCCAACCCTGGTCCCCACACAACTTGACTCTGCCAAGGGGTTGAGAGGCCAGGGAGGCAAGGTCGGAACTGTGGGCCGAGCACCCCAGGGTCCCCTCTTCCTAGTTTATGAGAGACTCCCTGACAGGACTTCCCTCCCGTTTCAGGAAAATCCTCTTATGTGGGGAGATGACACCCTAAGGTTTGGAGAAGGACTTACCCTCCTGTGGCCAGGCCCCCTGCAGCAAGAAGAACCCTGGAAAGAAAGATCATGATGGAAGATCCATTTGCAGGCAAACAAGGCCTTCCTTGCTGCCCCCACTGGGCTGTGAGTCTTGATAGCCAGCCCCTTCCTGGGCCGAAGGTAAACTCACCATCAGTGCCTACCTGCACCCAAGAACAGTGCTCTCGGCTGTACAGAGACCCAGCCTCCAGGCCCATATCCCCACCCCAAGCCCATATCTCCACTCCAGGCCCATATCTCCACTCCAGGCCGATATTTCCACCCTAGACCCATATAGCCAATCCGGGCCCACATCTCCAATCCAGGCTCAGATCTCCACCCTCGGCCCATATCTCCAATCCAGGCCCATAACTTCACTCCAGGCCCATAACTCCACTGCAGACCCATATCTCCACTCCAGGCCCATATCTCCACTCCAGGACCATATCTCCACTCCAGGCTCATATCTCCACTCCAGGCCCGTATCTCCACCTCCAGGCCCATAACTTCACTCCAGGCCCATAACTCCACTCCAGGCCCATATCTCCACTCCAGTCCCATATCTCCACTCCAGTCCCATATCTCCACCCTAGGCTCCTACCTCCCCTCCAGGTTCCTATCTCTCCTCCAGGTTCCTCTCTCCACTCCAGGTTCCTATCCCCACTCCAGGCCCATATCTCCACTCCAGGCCCAGATCTTCACTCCAGGCCCAGATCTCCACTCCAGGCGCAGATCTCCACTTCTAGGCTCATCACTCCATCTCTAGGCCCAGATCTCCACTCCAGGCCCATAACTCCACCTCCAGGCCCATATCTCCACCTCTGGGCCCAGATCTCCATCCCCACGCTCCCTCCCTCTATTCCCTTCCAGGACTCACCAACACACGCCATGATGATGACCATGAGCGACATGGTGCTGCCGGTGCAGACAGGCGGCCGCGCCCCAGCTCAGCTCAGCAGCACACAGGATGTTATTTGGCGCCCTGCCCATGCAGTTTACATGTTGACCACATCATGGGAGGGTGACGTACGCAGGCTTTTTCTACCTTGCATGAGGCCCAGTGGGTGCTCGCTCAAGAGCGGAACATGGCTTCCTGGAAATTGCTCTCACTAGAATTGACACCTCGCGTCCTTCACTATGACCAACTCAAAACATGTCTTAGATCCAACCTCCCAAACATGAGATGCCTAAAATCTGTGCTAACATGAAAGACTTTTCATGAATTTTTATTGTTTTTATCTGAGATTCGAACTCTTCTTCCTGTGTAATATGCAAAATATCTAATAGGTATTATTAGTGTTTTCAGAGTCATTGTGACTAATAAACCATTAGAATTGTTCATGCTTGTATTTCTAGTATTACAGCAGAACCAGTTCAAATGATTTAAATTCCCAGGGAAGGATTATGCAATTATTTACAATCTTAGAATTGTACTTTATCAGCAAAAACCACACATGTAAATTCTGGATTTTTGTAGTTTTATCTATAATTTGTCTCATGACTCAAGATTCCAGAGTCCCAACTTTGGAGTTTGCTCTCTCTCTGTCTCTCTGCCTCCCTCATTTTAAATTTTACAGAAATATCCAGTAACATAATGCTATAGAAAATCAAGTTTCCCCCAGCAGGTCGGGAAGCCGAGGTGGGCGGATCAACTGAGATGAGGAGATTGAGAGCAGCCTGGCCAACATAGTGAAACCGTGTCTCTGCTAAAAATCCAAAAATTAGCCGTGCCTGGTGGCAGGCACCTGTAACGCCAGCTACTCAAGAGGCTGAGGCACGAGAATCGCCTGAACCTGGGAGGCGGAAGTTGCAGTGAGCTGAGATTGCTCCACTACAGTCCCGCCTGGGCGACAGAGCAAGACTCCGCCTCAAGAAAAAAAAATAGCAAGTAGCCTATAATAACAAATTAGAGGGCTCTGGCTACTAAATTTAAAGGGTTTTATAAGGCTACATGAAGTGCAGCATCCTCAAGAGTGTGGACACAGAGAGCCCCTTAGCAGAAACAGTGTCTAAAATACATCCGTGTACACACAGTCCCTTTAGAGTTGACAAAGGCTGCCGTGTGGTTTAAGGTGGCATAGAATGTCTTCTTAATAAATAATATTAAACCAAAGGGTTACACGTAGGAAAAAATAAATCTAAACTTATTCTCACACTATAAAAACACTTCTTACTTTTTATCTAGTTATTGTACATTTTTTATGATTTATATTTAAAATTGAGAAATAAAAGTCATATACGGTCATCCTTTACTATTCGTGGGTGATTGGTTTCAGGATCTCCACTCAGGTACCAAAATCTGCAGATGCTCAAGCCTCTTACATAAAATGACACAGCATTTGGATATAACCCATGCACATCCTCCTGTATACATGAAATCATCTCTTGATTACTTATAATTCCTGATACAGCCTACACACTGCCTCATTTGTGTCCATTCAACATAGTTTTGCATTTTGAAACTTTGTGGACATTTTCTCTGAATATTTTTGATTTACACTTGGTTCAATAAACACCTGTAAACCCCACAGATATGGAGGAGCGACTGTATATTTATAGTATGAAATATGATGTGTTGATATGTGTCCCCGTGGAGATGAGACTAGCAAGGCTTATGACTCTACAAATGTTTCATCGTGGAATGACTCTGCCAGCTTTCCAGGTTGCAGAGAGTAAGAATATCACTTGTTCATGTGATTCACGATCCTTGGAACCTCCTATGTGCTGCATCTTTGGATGGAAATTGGAGTCCCAGAGACAAATGAGGCTCCACCCTGCTTCCAGAAGCTCAGAATCCAGGGGTGAGAACCCAGCGGAGAACAGATGGGGTTATGTGGACATGGTAATGATAACAGCGGTTTCTTTCAGCGAATACAGTGTCACATTACCTGAAGCAATGAGGGCAGACATGTTTATTTGAAGAGGAGACAGCTACATTGAAATCACAAAAAATTTTATAAGTTTCACTGCTGACAGAAGGCTGGAAAATAGTCCGAAGAAAGGTGAAACAGCATGAGGGAAGGTGGAACAGCACGTGGGTAAGTGCCACGTCAAGAGGGAGCCTCTTGTATGTTTGGAATTGTGAGTTCCTCAGTGTGATTGCAGCCTCAAGTAGACTAGGAAGTAAGCCAGTTAGGTTGGAGAGGTGGGCAGGGGTCAAGTGAAATGGAGAACTGTGGGCTAAGCAAAGGAGTGTGTTTTCTTTCCAGCAGGCAGTGGGGACCTAGACATTTGTAAGCAAGAGAGAGGCACCAGATTTGTGGCGTGAGGAGGAGCGATGCCCTAAGATGAAGACTCACGCCTTCAGATTCCAGCTGCTGGTACATGGGAGCTGGCAACTCGGTTTTGAGACAGGGCTGTTGTCTCCCTAGAAGACGTCCTCAAGGCCTGACTGTGGTGCTCATGGGCAGGAGACAACTTTGGATCTGGGCTTAGCATTTGGAAGTTCCGTGTACAAGATGGTATCTGTAGGGGGTGTCTTGGGCCTCTGAGAAGGGCGAGTGATTTTTCTCTGTGTGAAAACGCAGTGATCCAACTGTGCGTATGTCACCTCCTCAGGGTCTTGTTCATCAGAGTCCTGGAGAGAGGGAAATGCTGAGTGAGGGAGGGAAATGCTGAGTGAGGGAGGGTGCTCACGTTTTCCAGGACTGTTTGGGAATAACACTAGCCACGAGGCTGGGCCGAGGAGCACCTACCTCGCTGTTGGCTGTTCTGTTCCCTGCAGGCTCTTGGTCCATTACAGCAGCATCTGTAGGAGACGGAAGTCAACAAAAGAGCTCGGAGGGCACTTCTGGGTCCTCATTTCATAAGCAGATACCAACAAACAGGGGGAGGCCATAGGTGCCTGAGGTCCCTCAGTTGCCAACAGCAGACTCAGACATTCTATCTCTCTGAGCTCAAGGACCCATCCCATGAATAGCTCTGAGTTCCCATCCCATTGATTCTGTCTCCCACTTTCTGCCTCTCATGGAACCTTCTCCTGGATGTGAGTGGCTGCAGGGGACATGAGGATACAGTTCAGAATCAGGCAACGGTCTGTGAGCTGAAGGCAGGGGCAGGGAGTCTGGTGCTCTCTCTAGAAAGTCCTGCCTCTGTGGCTCCTGTCTTGGGCCAGGGACCATCCTGCCAGTGAGGAACACACAGCTGTGTGCTCCCATCCTGCTTCCCCACATGGCCCTGAGCTCTCTGGCCTGTGCCCCGTGAGACTTACTTTTTTTGTTGGAGCACCAGAGATGAAGGAGAAAGAAGAGGAGGAGGATGAAGAGGATGATGACCACTGAGGTCCCAATCAGAATGTGCAGGTGTCTGGGGTTACCTGGAAGAAGAGGAGACACCAGTAAGAAGCTAATCATAGCAGTTTCTCTATATGAATTGTCTTGCATTTCTTGATTGACAGGTAACCACTTACAGCATCTCTTTCGGACAAGCACCCAGATGGCGGGAGACCTAGCTTCCTCCTGCTTTCTCAGTTATAGCTCTCATAGTAACCATGGAACGTGCTGAGGATACAACTACTTTAGTTGAGATGTTTGACCCCTTCAAACCTCACATTGAAATTTAACCCCCAGTGTGGGAGGTTGGGCCTCTTGGGAGGTGTTTGGGTCATGGAGGTGGATCCATCATGAACAGATCAATGCTGTCCCAAGGAGACGGGGTTAGCAAGTTCCCTCTCTATTAGTTCCTGGAGAGCTGGTTGTTAAAAAGAGCTTGGAAGCTCCATTGCTCCCCCTCCCCCTTGCTCCCTCTCTTGCCGTGTGATCTCTGTGGTCTCTGCACAGACAGACCCTCCTTCCCTTCTGCCAGAGTGGGAGCGGCCTGAGGCCATCATAAGAAATAGATGCTGGTGCCATGCTTCCAGTACAGCCTGCAGAATGGTGAGGCAAACCAATCTCTTCTTTAGAAGTTACCCAGGCTCAAGTGTTCCTTTAGAGCAACAAAAATGGACTAAGACAGCAAAGTCCTGAGATCAGGAGGATCGTCCCAGAACAGCCTGGGCTGTCTTCCTGTTCTTCCTGGAGGAGGACGTCATGCAGTGCTTTAGCTGAGTGCTTCCTGTGGCTCCAGGGTACAAAACCCAGGCTGGGCTGCTTTCTGGCTTCCCCCAGCTACACTGCAAATGGGGTGACTCCACATGTCTCGAGCAGCTTTTCTGAGCCTTGGGGAACTGGCTCACATTGAAATGTAGGCTTCTGTTGTCACTCGCTGCTTATCTGTTAGTAATGAACCTGCCTATGTAACGTATTCTCTGTGTGTTCTGTCTCCCTGGAGTGACGGTGAGTGATAGGAATTGGCATAGGCCCAGGTGCAGTCCAGGAGGTGTTTAGAGTCTTCTCTGGGAAGACTGGACTGGGATTGATACACAGCGAATGTGCTTTAGGATTTCTACATCCACGGCATTCTTGAGTTAAACAACTTGCATTCTCCAAGAAAAGGAAACAAAAGTGAAATCAATATAAAAAAAGCGAAGTAGAATTCTCTTATGTCAAACAGCCAGAAAATAGTGTTGAAGCCCGTGTGAAATGTGCTACTCTTTGTGATCTCGGGAGACACATGTTAGGCTGCTGTTCTACCTCAGAGGCTGGGGGAAGGACCACCCCCTCGACTATCTATTGCTTCAATACCACCTGTCCTCCTGTGAATTAGTAGGAAAGGGGAGCAGGAGCTAGTGCTGGCACTGATCTCTGATTCCAAGATCTGGACTCACTCCAAGGAGTATTAGCATTTACCTCCCCATGATCTATCTGTATCTCCACAGGTGATTGGAAGTAGGGGTGAGATGGGGGATTTGGGTGAGGGGGCAAGTTTTTTTTGTGATGACCAGAGCACTTTCTCTATTCCAGGATTTGTGCTGGAGGATTCAGCGGGCTTTCACATTTTCTATATGATCTCATGCTCACAGAAAGCCAAATACGGAAGAGGTTTTAGGCTGATTGCCTAATGGATAAGATAAAGGATCAAAGAAGTAATTATAGAGAAATAGAAAAATGATGATGGGAATTCAGGTGCCTTTGTCATTCGTGTGTGTTTTATTATATTTATGCATTTCTTATTTTTATTTTTTGAGATGGAGTCTCCTTGTGTCACCCAGGCTGGAGTGCAGTGATGCGATCTCCACTCACTGCAACCTCCACCTCCTGGGTTGAAGTCATTCTCCTGCTTCATCCTCCAGAGCAGGAGCTGGGATTACAGGGATGCACCACCATGCTCGGCTAATTTTTGTATTTTTAGGAGAGATAGGGTTTCACCATGTAGAGATAGGGTTTCTCCATGTTGGCCAGGCTGGTCTCGAACTCCTGACTTCTTGGAATCCACTGGCCTTAGCCTCCTGCAGTGCTGGGTTACAGGAGTGAGCCACCGTTCACAGACTTGTATACTATGCTATAATAGGTCCCTTCATTTCCACCACCCCTCATATATCTGTCACTCCTTTGGCAGGTATTGATTTATGTGTAGGAGGAATAAATCTCAGAAAGAAATTAATTTAGCAAGGATTAAACAACTAGGAAACTCAAACCCAGCAAGCCCTCCCTGCAAATGATTCTACCTCCCAAACATAGCTTATATCCATCTGCTTCATCCACTTAGGGTCTAAATCAGCACCACATTTCACCAGTGGGGCGGCAATTGCCTTTTCCACTGTCTCCTAGATTCCAGTTACGCACCTGGGCCTCCCTTATTTTCATGTCAGTCACTATTAATCATGTAGGGATTCCTGGCTACCCCGAGGTGAATCCAATGGCTGTGAGTGTCAAACACACACTCCTTGTTGCTCCTTAGTTTCCTGTGTACCCAGTGTGCTCTCCGTCTCTCCACAGTCGTCTTGTCATTCTCCCCACCTCATTCCCAGCATTTCAGGCAGAGCCTCTTCCTTCCACATCAGATTGTTTTCAGCTTTCTGCCTTCACGGCTGACAGCTGTGTGTGGAAAATCCTTCCGCCAATCTTTCAGGGGTTCAATCCGTGTTTTTCATTAATGTCACAAATATCTGATTAGTGAGACCTTCTCTGTCACCCAAAATTATACACTCAGCATTATCTATTATTTATTTTGAATTCTGGCTGGGCAAAGTGGCTCACGCCTGTAATCCCAGTACTTTGGGTTGCTGAGATGGTCGGATCACTTGAGGTTGGGAGTTTCAGACAAGCTTGGCCAACATGGTGAAACATCCTCTCTACAAAAAATATACAAAAAGAATTAGCCGGGCATGGTGGCAGTTGCCTGTAATCCCAGCTACTCGAGAGGGTGAGGCAGGAGAATCACTTGGATCCAGGAGACGCAGGTTGCAGTGAGCCAAGATCGTGACACTGCACTGTAGCCTGGAAGACAGAGGGAGACTCTGTCTCAATAAATAAATGAACGAACAAACAAATAGATTTCATGCACAGATGCTTCCCAATGGATCATTCATTTATTGGTCCACTTGTGCATTCATTTTCTGTCCTCCCATTTAACCATCTGCAATATCAGTGTCCCAAGAGCAGAGGCCAAATGCATCTTGTTCACCGTTCGTGGAAGGCAGGAGAATGCTGTCCCACCCCAAAATGTCCCTGTCCTAGCCTCCATAGCTTGTGAATATCTTATTTTACATGGAAAGAAGGAATGAAGATTGCAGATGGAATTACGGTTGCTAGTCAGCTGAACTGAAAACAAGGGTATCCTGAATGATTTCCGGGAGATTATGATGGATTTTCATCTTGGTGAACCCAATAGAATCCCCAAGTTTTCAAAAGATAAGGAAGAAGGGAGAGCAGCATTCAGAGAAAGAGGTGTGGTAAGGAAGAAGGGTCTGAGTGATGCCATGTGAGATGTGACCAGTCTTTGTGGGCTTTGAGGAAGGAGGAAGGGGACCAGGAGCCAAGGAACTGGGAGCCTTTAGAAGCTGGGACAAGTGAGAAGCAGATTCTTGCCTGGAATCCTCAGAGGGAAGGCAGCCTTGCTGTCACCTTGATTTTAGCCCAGTAAGATGCACTTCCTACTTTGAGCTACAGCACTGTAAGATAATTAAAAAACCGTTTTGTTTTCACCCACGAATCTTGTGGAAATTTGTTATGGCAACAATAGGAAAGGATTCCAACTGCACAGCCTGAGCATGGGGCCGTGGCTGAATGAGTCAGTGAGTCGAAGTGTGCGTGCATGAGCTCTGTTCTCTGTTACGGCAAGGCTCTTGCTCTGCTGAGTCAGCCAGGGTTGCTTCATGACCAACAGTAATTCATTCCTTGGCAAGTGGAACTTCTCTAAAACACCTCGCCCTCATCAGATGTTCCCTTCCCTTCCCTCTCTCAAGTCCCCAGGAATTTATCCTCCAGTTAGGAATGCAGGAAGAAAAAACACTGCATGTTTCCTGAGAAGGATGTCAGATTGGCAATCATTCTTCTAGCTTGTAGGAGGTCTCACCTGCAGGACATTAAAGGTTAAGAGACTTCGCTGAGTCCTTTGGTGGCCCTAGATCCCTTTCACTGTTGGAGTGTCTGGAGTTCAGAGATGGTGGAAGACAGGCCCTCATTCACAGAGCTGGGAGGTTTGAGCCAACACTTGCATCCAAGGCTTCCACCTCCCCAGGTTTCCAAAAGCAGAGATAAGAGGGGTCCTTTACTCACCAGATTTGGAGCTTGGTTCTGTGGGTGAAGGCCAACTACTTGAAGGGTTTCCTAGAACATGGGACAGGAGAGATGTGAGGAAATGAGGGTGCTTGTCCTCTACTCAATGGAAATCTTTGAGGTTGGTTCATGGCCAACACTCTGTTATCTAATGTTGGACCCTGGGAGTCTTGGGATCCTCTTCTCCATAATTTTTGTGTGCGATGCCCACTGTCTTGAGACTTGAAGGTATAAAGAGAAAACAGGAGCATCACACTACCTGACTTAGAAATATGTTACAGAGCTGTAGTAAGCAAAACAGCATGACATTGGCATAAAGAAAGGCACATAAAAAATGAAACAGAATGGAGAACACAGATATAATCCATGCATTTACATCCAATGGCTTTTTTTGTGTGTGTGTGTGTTAGAATCTTGCTCTGTCATGCAGGCTGGAGTGCAGAGGTGCAATCTCAGCTCAATGCAACCTCCACTTCCTGGATTCAAGCAATTCTCTTGCCTCAAACACCCGAGTAGTGGTATTACAGGCACTGGTCACCATGCTCAGCTAATTTTTGTATTTTTAGTAGAGACGAGGTTTCACTCTGTTGGCCAGCCTGATCTTGAACTCCTGGCTTCAGGTGATCCACCCGCCTCGGCCTCCCAAAGTGCTGGAATTGCAGGTGTGAGCCACCATACCCAGCCCATTTAATGGACTTTGACAAAGGTGCCGAGAACTTACAATCAGGAAAGGACAGTCTTTTCAATAAATGGTGTGGGGAAAACTGGATATCTATATGCAGAGGAATAAAACTGCATCTATACCTGTCACCATACACAAAAATCAAATGAAAATGGATTAAAAACATGAGTCTAAGGCCTGAACCTATGAAACATGTAGAAGAAAATAATGGGGAAGACATTTGTCTGACGAAAGACATTTTGTTTAAAACCTTCAAAACACAAGTAATCAAAGCAAAAAATAGACCATTAGGATTACATCAAACCAAGCAACTTCTGCACCACAAAAGATAAACCAAGAAAGTGAAGAGACAACCGACAAAATAGGAGCAAATATTTGCAAACTATTCATCTGAGACGGGATTAATAACTGGAAATATAAGAAGCTCAAACAACTCAATAAAACAATTTAATTAAAAAACGAGCAAAAGACATGAGGAGACATTTCTCCACAAACAAAACATAGAAATGGCGATCACGTATATGAAAAAGTACTCGGCATCACTCATCATCAGAGAAATGTAAATTACAATCGCGATGAGTTTTCATCTCATCCCATTAAAATGCCTTTTAGGCCGGTGGCTCACGCCTGTAATTCCGGCACTTCAGGAGGCGGAGGTGGGCGGATCACCTGAGGTCGGGAGACCAGCCTGACCATCATGGAGAAACTCCCTCTCTACTAAACATACAAAAATTAGCTAGGCGTGGTGGCACATGCCTGTAATCCCAGCTACTTTGGAGGCTGAGGCAGGAGAATCAGTTGAACGCGGGAGGCGGAGGTTGCAGTGAGCTGAGATCACACCCTTGCACTCCAGCCTGGGAGACTATGAGTGAAACTCCATCTCAACATAAATAAATAAATAAAATAAAGTAAAGTAAAATGGCTTTTACTGCAAGACAGGCAAAACAAATGCTGGCAAGATGGTAGAGAAAGGAGAACCCTGGTACCCTGTTGGTAGGAATGTAAATTAGTACAACTATTATGGAGAAAAGTATGGAAATTCTTTAAAAAACTAAAAGGAGGCTGGGCATAGTGGCTTATGCCTGTAACTTCAGCACTTTGGGAAACCGAGGCAGGCACCTCACTTGAGGTCAGGAGTTTGAGAGCAGCCTGCCCAAAATTGGGATATCCCGTCTGTGCTAAAAAAATACAAAAATTAGCCAGGCATGGTGGCGTGCACCTGTAATCACAGCTACTAGGGAGGCTGAGTCAGGACAATCATTTGAACCTAGGAGGCACAGGTTGCAATGAGCCAAGATCTCACCACTTAGACTCCAGCTTGGACTAAGGAGGGAAACTCTTTCTCAAAAAAGAAAAAAAAAAAAAGAGAACTTTCATAGTGTCCAGCAATTTCACTACTGGGTTTATATCCAAAGGAAAGGACATCAGTGTATCGAAGTGATATCTGCACTCATATGACTGTTCCAGCACTGTTCACAGTAGCCAAGATGTGGAGTCAACCTACCTGCCCATCAGTGGGTGAATGGATAGAGAACTGTGGTACACACACACAGTGGAGACTACTCATCCATAGAAACAATAACATCCTGTCATTTGCAGCCACATGGATGGAACTGGAGGTCATTACAAAGATTCCCATTTCTCACCCACATGCAGGAGATAAAAGGTGGATCTCATGAAGGTGGAGAATACAATGGTGGACACCAGAGGCCAGGAAGGGAAGGGTGGAGGGTAACAAAAAAAAGAATATAGATGTATTTATTTATTTAGAAACAGAGTCTCTCTCTGTCTCCCAGGCTGCAGTGCAGTGGCATGATCTCGGCTCAGTGCAACCTCTGCCTCCTGGGTTTAAGTGCTTCTCCTGCCTCAGCCTCCCAAGTAGCTAGGACTACAGGTGCATGCCAGCATGCTCGGCTAATTTTTCTTGTCTGTTTAGTAAAGATGAATTTCCCACATGTTGGCCAGGGTGATCTCGAGTTCCTGATCTTAAATGATCCACCTTCCTTGGCCTCTCAAAGCGCCGAGATTACAACCGTGAACCACCACACCCAGCATATAAAGGTATTTATGACCACTAGATTTTACTTTTAAAAATGGTAAAGGTGGTAAATTATATAGTTACATTTAACCTCAATAAATATTTTTGAAAATGAAAAGAAAAGGGTGTAGGGGTTGCTGGTGATGATATCTCTCTGTGTGGGTGAGAGGCCATGATGGGCTTCTGGGAAATGGATAAGATTGAGGGGCTGAGGGAACCTCTGATCTCCCCAAACTAAGCCCAGTCTCCCCTTCTCTGGGTCTGTCCTGACCGCTTTCTCCATCTGCCTGGGTGCCTGGAGCCCTGATCGGAGGCCTCCATGCAGGCCATGAAGGAGGGTTTGGAGGTGCCCTGTCTGCCATCCTGCGCCCTGACTCCGCCCTCACACCTGCTGTGTCTTCTCTCTGCATCTGTCCATGCTTTTCTCCATCATCAGCAGGAAGCTCCTTAGCTAAGGATTTAGGATCATAGGACATGAGAGAGATATGGGCTTTTCTCACCTGTGACAGAAACAAGCAGTGGGTCACTCGGGTCTGACCACTCGTAGGGAGAGTGACGGAAAGAGCCGAAGCATCTGTAGGTCCCTCCGTGGGTGGCAGGGCCCAGAGGGAAATCTGCCTTGAATGTTCTGTTGACCTTGCGCACTGCAGGGAGCCTACGTTCATGGGCTCCCCCCTCCCTGGATAGATGGTACATGTCATAGGAGCTCCGGGAGCTGCAGGACAAGGTCACGCTCTCTCCTGCCTGAACCTTGGGGCCCGGCTGGGCTGAGAGAGAAGGTTTCTCATATGGACCTGGAAGGAGAAGAGGCAGTTTCCTCAGGGAGGTTCTTCCTTGTCATAGCTCCCCTCATACCTGAGCTGAGAACTCACTCCCCTGCTCTATGACCTAATGCTCTCTCTCTCTCTCTCACCCTCCACCCCATCTCTCTTCATATCTGTTTCCTCCTTCTACCTTTTCTGTCTCTCTAGGTCTATGACCTCACTTCCCCACCCTGAGGTATGTTTTCCCTTTTTGGATTGTTTTATTCTCTCTGACCCTCCTTGGATTGGTTGACTTGATCTTCCTTTTTCTTTAATTTTGAGTCTCTCACTTTCTGTCTTGTTCATAACTTTCTGCACATTTCTATCTATTTATCTATTTTGTGTCTATCTACAAATTATCTATCATCTATATTTATGTATCACTTATCTATCTCTCTATCAATTGTCTATCTGTCTATCTATCCATCAATCATCTATTATCTATATATGTATCATCTATCTCTCTCTCTATTACCTCTCTGTCTGCCTCTCTGTCTCTATTTATGTATCATC
Organism: Homo sapiens; assembly: GCF_000001405.40. Taxonomy (NCBI): domain Eukaryota; kingdom Metazoa; phylum Chordata; class Mammalia; order Primates; family Hominidae; genus Homo; species Homo sapiens. The sequence goes on from NT_187642.1 coordinate 46,460, forward strand.
TATGTATATATCTATGTGTCTATCATCATCATCGTCATCTCTATGTATCATCTATCAGTCATCATCTATGTATCTATAACCAATCCATTATCTATCATCTACCTATTTATCATCTATCTACGTCTATCTATCCATCTATCATCTCTCTCTCTCCGTCTCCTTGTCTTTCTCTGCCTCTCAGTCTCTCTAGTTCTATTTGGAATCTCTGCAATCCATCCCCACATATTTATCTTTCTCTGTCTTTGTGTCCCTCCCTCAGGGTTCTGATTTTGGGGCTTTTCTCTCCTCCTTTCCATCATTCTCTCCATTCTGCCCTCTTTTCTTTCTTTTTATGTGTCTGTGAATCTCTTAATCTCCTTCTTCTGGCTCATTTTGTGTGTGTTTATGTCTTTGTTTTTTGGTGTCCCTGATTTTTCTCTGTGTCTCTCAGCGATCCTATCATATGTGGGATTATTTGGAATATGAGCCTCAGAATCCAGTCTGGGGACCCCAAGTTCACACAGCATACAGGGGTTGGTGTTCAGGGGCCATGATATCCTGGGATGATTACTCTCCATTGCATGGAAGGCAGAGGTGTCAGAATAAACACGGCATCTGTAGGTGGCACAAGGCCTGAGGCCACAGGGCCCAACTCAGGTCAGAAATATGGGTGTCCTTGGGTTCTTCTGGTAGGAACACTTTGTGGAGGTAAAACAGAAATGAAACTTCTAACCTGTGCCAGGTCTCTGAGCAAAGTCAGCATGGAAGGACACCTCTCTCTGGGACATGTCTGTCTGTCTGAGTGTCTCCTTTACCTCTTTCTCTCTTTTCTACCTCCCTGTATGGCCCCTGTGTCTGTCCTCTGTTATGACACCTGTTCTGTACTTATGTCTCCTGTTTCTCTGTCTCTGTTGGTACAGACCTCACCAAGTCACTCTCTTTCCATAAGAATCCCACACTTATCTTCCTCATGACCACCTGGGGGTTCCAAGTCCTGGATCATTCACTCTGTGTCCCAGTGACAATGAGAACAATGTCTAGACACTCTCACCTGTGACCACGATGTCCAGGGGATCACTGGGAGCTGACAACTGATAGGGGGTGTGAGTAACAGAACCGTAGCATCTGTAGGTCCCTGCAAGGGCAAGCATCATGGGACCGATGGAGAAATTGGCCTTGGAGACCCCATCATGGATCTGTCCAACGAGGCGTGAGGGGTCCTTAGAGATCCCCTCTTTGTGCAGAAAGAAGTGCTCAAACATGATATCTGACCAACATTGCAGGATGACTCTCTCTCCTGATTTCACCAGGGGACCTGGGTGGGCCAGGAGGGAAGGTTTTCTGTGGTTTCCTAGAAAGAGAAGTTGTGAGTTTAGAAGGCATCTCTCTTTATCATCCCATCCATGGCACCTGGAATGAGTGAGGGTTCCCCTCCCCGTGTCTGTCTCTCTCCTCCCTCTCTGCATCTCCGTGTCTTTTCTGTGCCCATATCCCCTGGTGCAGGTGCCTCCATCTGTCTTCCTCCCTCTTCTCTGTCCCTCTGTCTCCAGTAGCCCCTGACTCCCTTGCCACTGTGAAGACAGCCTCATCTCTTGGGCTGTTGTATCTGTTTCCCACTAATCTCTTTCCTGCTGTCTATGTGGGGGTGGAAGAGGAGAGGCTGCATGTCCAGGCTCTTAGCAGCCTGAATCAATCTCTTTTGAACAAATCCCCAGTTCAAGTGATTCTCTTGCCTCAGCCTCCCCAGTCGTTGGATTACTCGCGCCCACCACCACATCTGGCTATCCTTGTTTGGTTTCCTAACTTGTCCTTGACCTGGGTTCCTGTGTTGGTTTCCTGTTGCTGCTGCAGAAAATTACCACAAACATGGCAGCGGGAGAGAACACACTGACCCCTTCCACTTCTGGAGACAGAAATTGGATCCAGTTCTCCCTGTGCTGAAATCAAGGTGTCTACAGGGCTGCGTTCCCTCTGGAGAATCAGCGAATCAGTTCTCTTGACTTCTCCAGCCCTTAGAGGCCACCTGCATTCTGTGACTAGTGGTCTTCCTCCACCTTCAAAGCCCGCAGTGGCTGATAGCGTCTCCCTCCCACTACACTGCTCTAATCCCCACTCCCCTCTTCCTCCACCTCTCATGTGGACCCTTGTGATTACACTGAGCCCAGTGGGACAGTCCAGGCTGTCTCCCCATCTCAAGGTCAACTCATCAACAACCTGAGCTCCACCTTCCCCTTCAGTCCCCTGCCCTGTAACATAAATAGTCACAGGCTCCAGGGATTACAATGTAGCCATCATTGGGGACAGTGATTCTTCCCACCACAGCACCCATTTCCCCTGTATTCAATCTCCCTTGACCCCAAATACAGTCAGGGCCTGGGTGATGGGACCCTGACGGACACCCCCACCAGAAGCTCTGGGATTCAGGAGGTGGGACAGTGAGAAGCCCAGACGGAAAGCCTCTGACCTGTGACCATGATCACCACGGGGTTGCTGGGTGCCGACCACCCAGTGGGGGAGTGTGGGTGTGAACCCCGACATGTGTAGTTCCCTGCATGTGCTGTGGTCACAGGGCTCATGTTGAAGCTCTCCTGGAATAATCTGCCATGGAAGATGGGAACGTGGATTCTGTCTTCTTTGTATAGCATGAAATTGTTAAACCTATGACGATAGTGACACCGAAGAGTCACGTGTCCTCCTCGAGGCACCACAGCGCTGGGCCAGGCAGACAGGAAGGGCTTGTCCTGACCACCTGGGGGAGAAGGAGGCACTGCCTTAGAGAGGAGGATGTGGAGCCGCCCCTCACTCCCAGTGCCCAGAAGATTCTCCCCATTTCCACTTTCTAAGGCTCCTACCACACCTGGGTGCCCAGGGCTACAGGAAGGACCCATCCTGCATAGACATGGCGTCTCCCTACAACAAGTGTCAGCTGAGAACTTTGAGCAAGTGCTGGAGAAGCAACTCTTACTAGATTTTAATACTGCAAAATTACTCATATAAAACAACACAAAGTAGACACGGCATGGAGGGCAAGTCCTATGTGAATGGAATATCAGCCAATTGATGAACTGAGCCCCCATCAGAGGATTTGGAATGTCAGGGCCATGGCTGTGGTTTCCTCACCTTTTCTGGTAGAAAGACCACAGCCACACTGCAGCCCCTACCATCACGGAAACGCTGGAGGGTGTGAGTTACACCTTTGTCCTCAGAGGACCTGCTGTTCCTAGCACTGCTTCCCTCTCTTTCTCTGCTGCTGACACCACTTCCTCCCTGCACACCCATCTTGGAGCACCCTAGTCTCACCCCAGTCTTCACAGAGCTTGACTCAGGAAAGGGAAAGAAAGGCCGGGGAGGGCAAGGTCAGAAATGTGGGCCGAGCATCCGAGGGTCCCCTCTTCCTAGTTTATGAGAGACTCCCCGACAGGACTTCCCTCCCATTTCAGGAAAATCCTCTTATGTGGGGAGATGACACCCTAAGGTTTGGGGAAGGACTCACCCACGTGTGGACCGGCCCTCTGGACCAAGAAGAACCCTAGAAAGAAAGATCATGATGGACCATCCATCTGCAGGCAAACCAGGGCACCCTGCTGCCCCCACTGGGCTGTGCGTCTTGGCAGCCAGGCCCTTGCTGGGCTGAAGGTAAACTCACCCTCGCTGCCTACCTGCCCCCAGGAACAAGGATCTCGGCTGTGCAGAGACTCAGCCTCCAGGCCCAGATCTCTACCTCCAGGCCTAGATCTACACAACAGGCCCAGATCTCCACTCCAGGTCCGTATCTCCACTCCAGACCCATATCTCCTCTCCAGGCTGATAAGTCCACTCCAGGCCCATATCTCCACTCCAGGCTCCTATCTCAACTCCAGGCTCATATATCCACTCCAGGCTCATATCTCCACTCCAGGCCCATATTTCCACTCCAGGCTTCTATCTCCTCTCCAGGCCCATATCTCCTTTCCAGGCTTGTATGTCTGCTCCAGGCCCGTATCTCCACCCCAGGCCCATATCTCCACTCCAGGATCATATCTCCACTCCAGGCCCAGATCTCCACTTCATGCCCTTAACTCCACCTCCGGGCCCATAACTCCACCTCTAGGCCCATATCTCCACTCCAGGCCCATATCTCCACTTCAGGCCCATATCTCTACTGCAGGCCCATAACTCCACCTCCAGGCCCATATCTCCACTCCAGGCCCATCGCTCCACTTCTAGGCCCATCACTCCACCTCTAGGCCCACATCTCCCCTCCAGGCCCATCCATATCTCCCCTCCAGGCCCATATCTCCACCCCAGGCACATATCTCCACCCCAGGCCCATATCTCCACTCCAGGCCCAGATCTCCACTCCAGGCACATATCTCCACCCCAGGCCCCTATCTCCACTCCAGGCCCAGATCTCCACTCCAGGCCCAGATCTCCACTTCAGGCCCATAACTCCACCTCCAGGCCCATAACTCCACCTCTAGGCCCATATCTTTACCTCCAGGTCCAGATCTCCATCCCCGCACTCCCTCCCTCGATTCCCTTCCAGGACTCACCAACACACGCCATGCTGACGACCATGAGCAACATGGTGCTGCCGGTGCAGACAGGCGGCCGCGCCCCAGCTCAGCTCAGCAGCGCACAGGATGTTATTTGGCGCCCTGCCCATGCAGTTTACATGTTGACCACATCATGGGAGGGTGACGTACGCAGGCTCTTTCTACCTTGCATGAGGCCCAGTGGGTGCTCGCTCAAGAGCGGAACATGGCTTCCTGGAAATTGCTCTCACTAGAATTGACACCTCGCGTCCTTCACTATGACCAACTCAAAACACGTCTTAGATCCAACCTCCCGAACACGAGATGCCTAAAATCTGTGCTAACATGAAAGACTTTTCATGTATTTTTTTTGCTTTTATCTGAGATTCAAACTCTTCTTCCTGTGTAATATGCAAAATATCTAATAGGTATTATTAAGGTTTTCAGAGCAATTGTGACTAATAAACCATTAGAATTTTTCATGATTGTATTTCTAGTATTACAGCAGAACCAGTTCAAATGATTTAAACTCCCAGGGAAGGATTATGCAATTATTTACAATCTTAGAATTGTACTTTATCAGCAAAAATCACAACATGTAAATTCTGGATTTTTGTAGATTTATCTAGAATTTGTCTCATGTCCCAAGATTCCAGAGTTCCAACTCATGGTTTGCTCTCTCTCTGTCTCTCTGCCTCCCTCATTTTAAATTTTACAGAAATATCCAGTAACATAATGCTATAGAAAATCAATTTCCCCAGCACTTTGGAAGCCGAAGTGAGTGATCAACCGAGGTCAGGAGTTTGAGACCAGCCTGGCCAATATAGTGAAACCATGTCTCTGCTAAAAATACAAAAATTAGCCATGCCTGGTAGCAGGCACTTGTAATGCCAGCTATTCAAGAGGCTGAGCCACGGAATCCCTTGAACCTGGGAGGCGGAAGTTGCAGTGAGCCGAGATCGTGCCACTGCACTCCAGCCTGGGCAACAGAGCGAGACTCTGCCTCAAGAAAAATAAAAAAAGCATAGCAAATAGCCTATAATAAATAACTAGAGGACTCCAGCTACCAAATTTTAGGGGTTGTATAAGGCTGCATAAAATGCAGCATTCTCAAGAGAGTGGACAGAGAGAGAGCCACTGAGCAGAAAACAGTGTCTAAAATACATCCGTGTACACACAGTCCCTTTATAGTTGACAAAGGCTGCCATGTGGTTTAAGGTGGAATAGAATGTCTTCTCAATAAATAACATGGGCCCAAGGGTTACACATGGAGAAAAATATATCTAAAAGTATTCTCACACTATAAAACACTTGTTTATTTTATCTTGTTATTGTAATTTTTTTATGTTTTATATTTAAAATTGAGAAATAAAAATTATATACAGTCATCCCTCACTATTCGTGGGTGATTGGTTTCAGGATCTCCACTCAGATAGCACAATCTGCAGATGCTCAAGCCTCTTACATGAAATGGCACAGCATTTGCAAATAACCCATGCACATCCTCCTGTGTACATGAAATCATCCCTTGATTATTTATAATTCCTGATACAGCCTACACACAGCTTCATTTGTGTCCATTCAACATAGTTTTGCTTTTTGAAACTTTGTGGATTTTTTCTCTGAATATTTTTGATTTATATTTGGTTCAATAAACACCTGTAAATCCCACAGATACAGAGGACCGACTGTATATTTATAGTATGAAAGATGATGTGTTGATATGTGTCCCCGTGGAGATGAGACTGACAAGGCCTATGACTCTACAAATGTTTCATCATGGAATGACTCTGCCAGCTTTCCAGGTCTGCAGAGAGTAAGAATATCACTTGTTCATGTGATTCACGATCCTTGGAACCTCTTATGTGCTGCATCTTTGGATGGAAATTGGAGTCTCAGAGACAAATCAGGCTCCACCCTGCTTCCAGAAGCTCAGAGTCCAGGGGTGAGAACCCAGTGGAGAACAGTTGGAGTTATTTGGACATGGTAATGATAACACTGGAAACTTTCAGCCAAAAAAAGAGTCACCTAAAGAATGAAGGCAGACATGTTTATTTGAAGAGGAGAGAACTACACTGAAATCAAAAAAATTTTATAAGGTTTGCTGATGCCAGAAGGCTGAAAAATAGTCTGAGGAAAGGTGGAACAGCACGAGGGAAGGTGGAACAGCACGTGTCTAAGTGCCGTGTTAATAGAGAGCCTCTTGTATGTTTGGAATTGTGAGTTCCTCAGTGTGATTGCAGCCTCAAGTAGACTAGGAAGTAAGCCAGTTAGGTTGGAGAGGTGGGCAGGGGTCAAGTGAAATAGAGAATTGTGGGCTAAGCAAAGGAGTGTGTTTTCTCTGCAGCAGGCAGTGGGGACCTTAGACATTGGTAAGCAAGAGACAGGCACCAGATTTGTGGTGTGAGGAAGAGTGATGCTCTAAGATGGAGACTCACGCCTTCAGATTCCAGCTGCTGGTACATTAGAGCTGGCAAGCTGGGTTTGAGACAGGGCTGTTGTCTCCCTAGAAGATCCCATCAAGGCCTGACTGTGGTGCTCATGGGCAGGAGATAACGCTCTGGGCTCAGCATTTGGAAGTTCTATACACACGCTGGTATCTGTTGAGGGTCTCTTGCTCCTCTGAGAAGGGCCAGTGATTTTTCTCTGTGTGAAAATGCAGTGATCCAACTGTGCGTATGTCACCTCCTGAGGGTCTTGTTCATCAGAGTCCTGGAGAGAGGGAAATCCTGAGTGAGGGAGGGTGTTCACATTTTTCAGGACTATTAGGGAATAAGACTGTATCCATGAGGCTGGGCTAGGAGGACCTACCTCCCTGTTCACTGTTCTGTGTCCCGCAGGCTCTTGGTTCATTACAGCAGCATCTGTAGGAGACGGAAGCAATCAAAACAGCTGGGAGGGCACTTCTGGGTCCTCATTTCATGAACAGATACCAACACACAGGGGGAGGCCATAGGTGCCTGAGGTCCCTCAGCTGCCAACAGCCAGACTCAGACATTCCATCTCTCTGAGTGCAAGACCCCATTCCATGAATAGCTGTCAGTTCCCATCCCATTGATTCTATCTCCCACTTTCTGCCTGTCATGGAATCTTCTCCTGGATGTGAGTGGCTGCAGGGGACGTGAGGATACAGTTCACAATCAGGCAATGGTCTGTGAGCTGAAGGCAGGGGCAGGGTGTCTGGTGCTCTCTCTAGAAAGCTCTGCCTCTGGCTCCTGCCTTGGGCCAGAGACTTTCCTGCCAGTGAGGAACACACACCTGCGTGCTCCCATCCTGCTTCCGCACAGGGCCCTGAGTTCTCTGGCCTCTGCTTCGTGAGGCTTACTTTTTTTTTTGGAGCACCAGCGATGAAGGAGAAAGAAGGGAAGGATGGTGAAGAGGATGATGGCCACTGAGTACCTAATCACAGCATGCAGGTGTCTGGCGATACCTGGAGGAAGATGAGAATCCAATAAGAAGCTAACCATAGCAGTTCCTCTTTGTGGATTGTCTCTCATTTCTTGGTTGCCAGGCAACCACATAAAACACCTCTTTAGGACAAGCACCCACGAGGCGGGAGACCCAGCTTTCTCCTGCTTTCTCCGTTATAGTTTTCATAATAACAATAGAATGTGCTGATGATACAACTGCTATTGTTTCAATGTTTGACCCCTCCAAACCCCACTTTGAAATTTAATCCCCAGTGTGGGAGGTTGTGCCTATTGGGAGGGGTGTTTTGGTCATGGGGGTGGATCCATCATGAATAGATTAATGCTGTCCCCAGAGGACGGGTTTAGCAAGTTCTCCCTCTATTAGTACCCTGGAGAGTTGATTCTTAAAAAGAGCTTGGAAGCTCCATCACACCCCCTTTCTCCCTCTCTTGCCATGTGATCTCTGTGGTCTCTGCACACGCAGGACCCCCTTCTCTTCTGTCAGTGTGGGAGCAGCCTGAGGCCGCAGCCAGAAATAGATGGTAGTGTCCTGCTTCTAGTACAGCGTGCCGATCAGTGAGCCAAACACATCTCTTTTCTTTAGAAGATACCCAGGCTCAAGTGTTCTTTTATAGCAACAAAAATAGGCTAAGACAGCAACATCCTGAGATCAGGAGGAACGTCTCAGAACAGCCTGGGCTGTCTTCCTGTTCTTCCTGGAGGAGAACATCATGCAGTGCTTTAGCTGAGTGTTCCCTGTGGCTCCAGGGTACAAAACCCAGGCTGGGCTGCTTTCTGGCTTCCCCCAGCTACAGTGCACATGAAGTGACTCCATGTGTCCTGAGCAGTTTTTCTGAGCCTTGAGGGACTGGCTCACCCTGAAAGGAAGGTTTCTGTTGTCACTCGCTGCTTATCTATAAGTAATGAACCTGCCTATGTAATGTATTCCCTGTGTGTTCTGTCTCCCTGGAGTGATGGTGAGTGATAGAAATTGGCACAGGCCCAGGTGCAGTATGGGAGGTGTTTAGAGTCTTCTCTGGGAAGACTGGACTGGGATTGATACACAGTGAATGTGCTTTACAGTTTCTACATCCACAACCCTCTTGACTCAAACAAATTACATTCTCCAAGAAAAGGAAAAAACAGTGACATTGAAATCAACATAAGTGAGGTTGAGCTGTCTTATATCAAACAGCCAGGAAATAATGATGAAGCTCGTGGGCAACATGCTACTTTTGTCATCTTGGGAGTCAGATATTAGGCTGCTGTTCCACCCGAGAGTCTGGGGGAAAGACCACCCCCTCCATCATCTGTTGCTTCAATACAGCCTGTCTTTCTGTGAATTACTCCAAAAGGTGACCAGGAGATAGTGCTGGCACTGGTCTCTGAGTCTACGATCTGAACTCCAAAGAATATTAGTTTTTACCTCCCCATGATCTATCTGTATCATTAATGTGATTGGAAGTAGGGGTGAGGTGGGGGATTTGGGTGAAGGGGCAAGTTTTGTGCCATGAACAGATCACGTTCTCTATTCCAGGACCTGTGCTGGTGGGTTTCACATTTTCCATATGATCTCATGCTCACAGAAAGCCAAATAAGGAAGATGTTTTCGCCTGATTTTCTTATGGATAGGATAAAGGATCAAAGAAGTCATTATAGAGAAATAGAAAAATGATGATTGGAATTGGTGTGCCTTTGTCATTCGTGTATGTTATATTATATTTATGTATTCTTTATTTTTATTTTTTGCCATGGAGTCTCACTCTGTCACCTAGGGTGCAGTGCAATGACGCGATCTTGGCTCACTGTAACCTCTCCCTCCCTGGTTGAAGCCATTCTCCTTCTTCAACTTCCTGAATAGCTGGTATTACAGGCACGCGCCACCACCCCCAGCTAGTTTTTGTATATTTTGTAGAGATGGGGTTTCACCATGTTGTCCAGGCTGATCTCGAACTCCTGATCTCACTTGATCCAGCCTCCTCAGCCTCCCAAAATGTTGGGTTACAGGTGTGAGCCACCGTTCAGAACCTTGTGTGTTATATTATAATAGGTCTCTTCCTTTGCACCACCCCTCATGTATCTCTCACTCCTCTGCCAAGTATTGATTTACATGTAGGAAAAATAAATCTCAGAAAGAAATCAATGAAGTGAAGATTAAACAATTAGGAAAAATCAAACCAGGCAAGCCCTCCCTGCAAATTACTCTACCTCACAAACACATCTTGTGTCCATCTTTCATTCATTTAGTGTCTAAATCAGCACCACATTTCACCAGGGGGGCGGGAATTGCCTTTTCCACAGTCTCCTAGATTCCAGTTATGCACCTGGGCCTCCCTTATTTTCATGTCAGTCACTATTCATCATGTAGGGATTCCCAGTTAGCCCCGAGGTAAGTCCAATGGCTGTGAGTATCAAACACACGCTCCTTGTTCCTCCTTAGTTTCCTGTGTACCCAGAGTGCTCTCTGTCTCTCCACAGTCGTCTTGTCATTCTCCCCATGTCATTCCCAGCATTTCAGGCAGAGCCTCTTCCTTCCACATAACATTGTTTTCACCTTTGTGCCTTCACGGCTGACAGCTGTGTGGAAAATCCTTCCGCCAATCTTCCAGGGGTTGATCTATTTTTTTCATTAAGGTCACAAGTATTATTTGATCAGTGAGAACTTCTCTGTCACCCGAAATTATACACTCAGCATTATCTATTATTTCTTTTAAAATACGGCTCGGCGCCTTGGCTCACGCCTCTAATCTCAGCACTTTGGGAGGCTGAGACGGGCGGATCCCTTAAGGTTGGGAGTTTGAGATAGCCTGGGCAACATGGTAAAACCTTGTCTGTACTAAAAAAAAATACCAAAAAAAAATTAGCCAGGCGTGGTGGGACATGGGTGTAATCCCAGCCTCTCGGGAAGCTGAGTGTAGAGAATCGCTTTAACCTGGGAGGTGGAGGTTGCGGTGAGCCGAGATCCCGCCACTGCACTCCAGCCTGGGGCACAGAGGGAGACACCGTCTCATAAAAACAACCAATCAATCAATCATTCTCATGCACAGATGCTTCCCAATGGATCATTCATTTATTGGTCCACTGGTGTATTCATTTTCTGCCCTCCCATTTAATCCTTTGCAATATCAGTGTCCAAGAGCAGAGGCCAAATGCACCTTGTTTACCATTTGTGGAAAGGATAAGAATGCCGCCCCACCCCAAAATGTTCCTGTCCTAGTCGCCATATCTTGTGAATATGTTATTTTACATGGAAAAAAGGAATGCAGATTGCAGATGGAATTACGGTTGCTAATCAGCTAACCTTAAAAGGAGGGTATCCTAGATGATTTTAGGGAAATTATGATGGATTATCTTGGTGTTTCCAATAGAATGCCAAAGTCCTTAAAAGATGAGGAAGAAGGCAGAGCAGCATTCAGAGAAAGAGGTGTGGACAAGGAAGAAGGGTCTGAGTGATGCCGTGTGAGAGGCGTGACCAGCCTTTGTGGACTTTGAGGGAGGAAGACGGGGACCAGGAGCCAAGGAATGTGGGAGCCTCTAGGAGCTGGGAAAAGTGAGGAAGCAGATTCTTGCCTGGAACATTCAGAGGGAAGGCAGCCTTGCTGTCACCTTGATTTTAGCCCAGTGAGATGATGCATTTCATACTTCTGAGCTACAGCACCATGAGATATTTTTTAAAAATGTGGTTTCCATCCACGAAGCTTGTGGAAATTTGTTATGGCAACATAGGAAAAAGTTCCACACTGCACAGTCTGAGCATGGGGCAGTGGCTGAACGAGTAAGTGGAAGTGTCATGTGCACGGATGAACTACGTTCTCTCTTACCGCAAAGCTCTTGTTCCACTAAGTCAACCAGGGTTGGATCATGACAGACAGGAGCTCATTCCTTGGCAAGTAGAACTTCTCTACAAACACACCACCCTCAAAAATGTTCCCCTTCCTTCCCCTTCTCAAGCCCCCAGGCATTTGTCCTCCCAGTTAGGAATGCAGGCAGAACAAACACAGCATTTTTCCTGAGAAGAATGTCTGATTTGCACTCATCCTTCTACCCTGAGGTCTCAGCAGCAGAAAATTAGAGATTAAGAGATTTCACTGAGCCCTGTGCTGGGCCCAGATCCCTTTCGCTGTTGGAGTGTCTGGGGTTCAGAGACAATGGAAGACAGGCCCACAATCACAGAGCTGGCAGGTGCTGAGCCAACGCTTGAATCCAAGGCTTCTACCTCCCCAGGTTTCCAAAAGCAGAGATAAGAGGGGTCCTTCACTTACCAGTTTTGAAGCTTGGTTCAGTGGGTGAAGGCCAACTACTAGAAGGGTTTCCTAGAACATGGGACAGGAGAGAGGTGTGGCAATGAGGATGCCTGTCTTTTCTACTCAATGGAAATCTTTGAGGTTGGTTCATGGCCAACCTTCTATTATCTAATGTTGGGCCCTGGGAGTCCTGGCATCCCATTCTCCATAATCATTGTAGGTGACACCAACTATCTTGAGACTTCAAGGTATAAGGAGAAAACAGGAGCATCACACTACCTGACTTAAAAATATGTTACAGAGCTGTAGTAAGCAAAACAACATGACATTGGCATAAAGAAAAGCACATAAAACAATGAAGCAGAATGAAGAACACGGATGTAATCCACCCATTTACATCCAATGGACTTTGACAAAGGTTCGAAGAATCTACAATCTGGAAAGGACAGTCATTTCAATAAATGGTGCAGGGAAAACTGGATATCTACATGCAGAGGGATGAAACTGCACCTCTACCTCTCACCATACACAAAAATCAGATGAAAATGGATTAATGACTTAAGACCTGAATCCATTAAATGTCTAAAAGGAAACACTGGAGAAATGCTCCAGGACATTTGTCTGAGGGAAGACATTTTGTTTAAAACCTCAAAAACACAAGTAATCACAACAACAACAAAAAAAATAGACCATTGGGATTATATCAAATCAAGCAGCTTCTGCACCGCAAAGGAAGCAACCAATGAAGTGAAGAAGAGAAAACCCACAGAATGGGAGCAAATATTTGCAAACTATGCATCTGAGATGGGATTAATAACTAGAATATAAAAGAAGCTCAAACACCTCAATAAAACTAATAATTTAATTATAAAATTAGTAAAAGACCTGAACAGACATTTCTCAATGAACAAAACATACAAATGAACATATATACATTGCATATATGAAAAAGTGCTCAGTATCACTAATCATCAGAGAAATGCAAATGAAGTCACAATGAGCTATCATCTCACCCCATTACAATGGGTTTTATCTCAGAGACAGACAAAACAAATGTTGGCAAGGTGGTGGAGAAAGGAGAACCCTGATACACTGTTGATAGGAATGTAAATTAATACAGCCATTACAGAGGAGAAGAATATGGAAGTTCCTTAAAAACTGAAAAGAGATTAGGCACTGTGGCTCACGCTTGTAATCCCAGCACCTTGGGAGGCTGAAGTGGGCAGATCACTGGAGGTCAAGAGTTCGAGACCAGCCTGGCTAACATGGTGAAACCCCGTCTCTACTAAAAATACAAAAATCAGCCAGGCTTGGTGGCGGGCACCAGTAATCCCAACTACTCGGGAGGCTGAGGCTGGAGAATCACTTGAATCCTGGAGGTAGAGGTTGCAGTGAGCCCAGGTGGTGCCATTGCACTCCAGCTTGGGCAACAAGAGTGAAACGCTATGTCAAAAAAACAAAAAGCATAAAACAAAACCTAAAAAGAGAACATCCAGAGGATCTAGCAATTCCACTAGTGGGTGTAAATGCAAAGAAAAGGACTTCAGTGTATTGAAGTGACATCTGCACTCCCATGACTGTTCCAGCACTGTTCACAGTAGCCAAGATGTGGAGTCAACCTACCTGCCCATCAGTGGATGAATGGATAGAGAGAATGTAGTACATACACACAATGGAGACAACTCATCCATAGAAAGAGTAACGTCCTGTCATTTGCAGCCACATGGATGGACTAGAGGTCATTACAAGGATTGCCATTTCTTACTCACATGCAGGATGTAAAAGGTGGACCTCATGAAGGTAGAGAGTAGAATGGTGGATACCAGAGGTTAGGAAGGAAGGGGTGGAGGGTAACAAAAGAAGAATATAAAAGTATTTATTTATTTATTTATTTAGAGACAGAGTCTCTCTGTGTCACCAGGCTGCAGTGCAGTGGCATGATCTCAGCTCACTGCAACCTCCTCCTCCTGGGTTTAAGCCACTCTCCCGCCTCAGCCTCCCAAGTTGCTGGGATTATAGGCGCCTGGCACCATGCCTGGCTAATTTTATTTTTTTTGTCTTTTTAGTAAAGATTGGTTCCCCCATGTTGGCCGGGCTGGTCTCCAGCCCCTGATTTTAAATGATCCACCTGCCTTGGCGTCTCAAAATGCTGAGATTACAGGCGTGAGCCACCGCACACAGCATATAAAGGTATTTATGATCCCTAGATTTTACACTTAAAAATGGTAAAGTTGATAAATTATATAGGTATATTTAACCTCAATCAGCATTTTTTCAAAGGAAAAGAAAAAGTGTAGGGGTTGCTGGTGATGACATCTCTGTGTAGGTGAGAGGCCAGGGTGGGCTTCTGGGAAATGGGTAAGGTTGAGGGGCTGAGGGAACCTCTGATCTCCCCAAACTGAGCCCAGTCTCCCTCCTCTGGGTCTGTCCTGACCACTTTCTCCATCTGCCTGGGTACCCGGAGCCCTTACTGCAAGCTTCCATGCAGGCCATGCAGGAGGGTTTGGAGGTGCCCTGTCTGCCATCCTGTGCCCTGATCCCACCCTCACACCATGCTGCATCTTCTCTCCACATCTGTCCATGCTTCTCTCCATCATCAGCAGGAAGCTCCTCAGCTAAGGCTCTAGGACCATAGGACATGGGACAGACATTGGCTTTCCTCACCTGTGACAGAAACAGGCAGTGGGTCACTCGCGTCTGACCACTCGTAGGGAGATCCATGGAAAGAGCCGAAGCATCTGTAGGTCTCTCCGTGGGTGGCAGGACCCAGAGGGAAGTCGGCCTGGAATGTTCCATTGATGCTGGGCACTGCAGGGAGCCTAAGTTCATGGGCTTCCCCCTCCCTGGATAGATGGTAGATGTCAAAGGAGCTCTGGGAGCTGCAGGACAAGGTCACGTTCTCTCCTGTGCGAACCGTGGGGCCCGGCCGGGCTGTAAGCGAAGGTTTCTCATATAGACCTGGAAGGAGAAGAGGCAGTTTCCTCAGGGAGGTTCTTCCTTGTCACAGCTCCCCTCCCACCTGAGCTGAGAACTCACTGCCCTGCTCTATGGCCTAGTGCTCTCTCTCTCTCTCTCACCCTCCACCCCCAACTCTTCCTGTCGATCCCTCCCTATGTGGTTCCAGCCTGGTGGTGGCATCAGCAGTGCACCCTTGCTGATCTCAGGGTAGCCAACCTTCTTGTTTGGTTTTTTAACTTGTCCTTCACCTGGGTTCCTGTGTTGGTTTCCTGTTGTTGCTGGAGAAAATTATCACAAACATGGCGACAGGAGAGAACACACTGACCCCTTCCACTTCTGGAGACAGAAATCAGACCCTGTTCTTCCTGGGCTACAATCAATGCATCTGCAGGGCTGCATTCCCTCTGGAGACTCGGGAGAATCAGTTCCATTGATTTCTCCAGCCCCTTCGTGGCTCGTGGTCTTCCTCCACCTTCAAAGCCCACAGTGGCTGGTGGAGTATCCCACGATGCTGCTCTAATCCCCATTCTCCTCTTCCTTCTCCACTCATATGGACCCTTGTGATTACACTGAGCCCAGTGGGAGAGTCCAGGCCATCTCCCCATCTCAAGGTCAACTCATCAACAACCTGAGCTCCATCTTCCCCTTCAGTCCCCTGCCCTATAACATAGTCACAGGCTCCAAGGATTACAATGTGGCCATCGATGGGGACAGTTATTCTTTCCAACACAGCACCCATTCCCCTGTATTCAATCCCCCTTTACCCCAAATATAGTTGGGGCCTGGATGATCGGACTCTGGTGGACACCCCCACCAGAAGCTCTGGGACTCAGGAGGTGGGACAAGGAGAAGCCCAGACAGGAGCCCTCTGACCTGTGACCATGATCACCAGGGGGTTGCTGGGTGCCGACCACTCAGTGGGGGAGTGCGGGTGAAAACCTCGACATCTGTAGGTCCCTGCGTGTGCTGGGGTCACAGGGCTAATGAGGAAACTGTTCCAGAATATTCTGTTGTAGAGCTCAGGGACAGGGACCCCATCTTTCTTGTACAGCGTGAAGATGTTAAACCCACGACGATAGTGACACCGAAGAGTCACGTGTCCTCCTTGAGGCACCACAGCGCTGGGCCAGGCAGAGCAGAAGGGCTTGTCCTGACCACCTTGGGGAGAAGGAGATGCCGCCTCAGAGAGGAGTATGTTGAGCTGCCCCTCCCTCCCTGTGCTCAGAAGATTCTCCCCATTTCTTCTTTCTAAGGCTCCTACCACACCTGGGTGCCTGGGGCTACAGGAAGGACCCATCCCGCATAGACGTGGCGTCTCCCTACAACAAAAGTGTCAGTTGAGAACTGAGCAGGTGCTGAGTAAGGGACTCTTACTAGATTTTAATACTGCAAGATTAGTTACACCAAACAACACAAAGTAGACATGGGGTGGAGGGTATGACCTTTGTGAATGGAATATTAGCTAATGCCTGAACCACAATAAACAACTGAGCTCCATCAGAGGATTTGGAATGGCAGGGTCGTGGCTGTGGTTCCCCCACCTCTTCTGGCAGAATGACAGCAGCCACACTGCAGCCCCTACCGTCATGGAAACGCTGGAGGGTGTGAGTTACCCTCTTGTCCTCAGAGGACCTGCTGTTCCTAACACTGCTACCCTTCCCTCCTCTGTCGGTGACACCACATCCCCCCACACACCCCAGCTTTGAGCACCTCAGTATCCCGCCTGGGCCACACAGAGCTCAACTCAGCCATGGGGAAGAAAGGCTGGGGAGGGCTAAGACAAAACAGAGGGCTGAGCATACCAGGATCTCCTCTTACTAGTTCATGAGAGACTCCCAGGATCTCCTCTTACTAGTTCATGAGAGACTCCCAGGATCTCCTCTTACTAGTTCATGAGAGACTCCCAGGATCTCCTCTTACTAGTTCATGAGAGACTCCCCCCAGGCCTTCCCATGGTCAGCCCATCAGCCCACCCTCTGTGCTGCCTCCCTCCCATTTCCGGAAAATTCACTTGTATTGGGGTGAAGATGGCAACCCATCATTTGGGGAAGGACTCACCCACGTGTGCCCACACACTCTGGTCCAAGAAGAACCCTGCAAAGAAAGATCATGATGAACTATTCATCTCGGCACCAACCTACCCTTTCCTCCTGAGCCACTGGGCGCCACGCTGGACTGAAAATTAACTCATCCTCACCACTCACTTGCTTCAGAACATGGCTCTCTGCTGGGGAGACACCCAATCTGCAGGCCCATAGTGTAACCCTGGTGCTCCTTCCCTTCCAGGACTCACCAAGACATGCCAGGATGATGACCGTGGGTGACATGGACATGGTGCAGCTTCTGCTGCCAGGACGCAGTGACTCGGCTCGACTGACCGGTGCAGAGGATGTGGTGAGGGGCCCGGATCGTGCAGTTGACACATTGACCACAACATGTGAAGGGGACATAGGTAGGCTTCTTCTACGTCATATGAGGTTCAAGTGGTGAGTCAGTCAAGGGAGGAATGAGGGTTTCTGAAAACTGCAGACTAGACTTGTCAGTTCACATCATGCGCAACGGCCAGGCTCAAAACACATCTCAGACTCACTTACCCCTGCACGGGACGATTGAATTCTGCACTCACATGAGGAACTTTTGATGTATTTTTTTTTGTTTCTACCTGAGATTCAAACTCTCCTTGATATGTAATATGCAAAATACCTAATAGGTTTTATTAACACTATAGAGCAATCGTATTAAATAAATCATCATAATTTTCCATGGTTGTATTTTTCCTGTTAAGCCAGAAACAGATAAAATGATTTAAATCCCAGTAGAAAAGACTATATAGTTATTTCGCATCATAGAATTCCACCTTATTAGCAAAAACACAATATGTCAATTGAAGGTCTGGTCGTGTTATCTAGAATTTGTCTTATGACACAAGAGTCCAAATTCACAGTTCCCTGTCTCCCTTTTTGTCTCTCTGTAACGTGTGCTTTTTTTCTCCCTGTGTTGTTTGTGTGTCTTTCTTTCTCTCTCTCATTTGAGGAAAAAATATCAGACTGATAACATCCTCCAACTTGATACTGGAATATTGCAATAACTGAAGGTTGAAATCTACACATTTAATGTGCTGTCATTCTTACAAATGTCTCTTATTTACACCTACCTTTCTGGAGTTTGTAAGAACTTTTTCACTATGCATTTTAAATTTGTAAAACTCATAATTTTTAAAAAGGGATGGGTCTCACTGTTTGCCCAGGGTGGCCTTTACTCATTCTATAAGGCTGGCATCACCCTGATACTAAAGACAGAAAAGAATATTAAACAAAAGAAAACTACATGCCAATATTCCTGATGAGCATAGATGCAAAAATCCACAAAAAATACTAAGAACTGAATCCCGCAGCATATCAAAAAGTGAATCCACCATGATCAAGTCAACTTTATTCTTAGGGTGCAAGGTTGGTTGAACATACACAATCAATACATGTGATTCATCACCTAAACAAAACTAAAAACAAAAACCACATGATCTTCTCAACACACATGTAGAACATACTTTTTACTAAGCATTTCTTCATGTTAAAAGCCCTCAACAAGCTAAGCATTGAAGAAACATAACTCAATATAATAAGAGCCGCCTATGACAAACCCACAACCAACATCATACTGAATGAGTAAAAGCTGGAAGAAGTTCCCTTCATAAGTGAAACAAGACAAGAATGCCCACTCTCACCATCCTATTCAACATAGTACTTGAAGTCCTAGACAGAGCCATCAGGAAAGAGAAAGAATTATAAGGCATCCAAGTAAGAAGAGAGTAGCAGAGAGAGGTAGTCAAATTACCTCTGTTTGAAGATGAGATAATTTCTATACCTAGAAACCCCATAGTCTCTGCCCAAAGGCTCCTACATCTGAGAAACAAACTTCAGCACAGTTTAAGGGCAGAAAGTCAATGTACAGGCTGGGTGTGGTGTCTCAGCCTGAAATCTAGCACTTTGGGAGGGCGAAGCGGGTGGATCACCTGAGGTCTGGAGTTCGAGACCAGCCTGGCCAACATGGCGAAACCCTGTCTCTACTAGAAACACAAATATAGCCGGACGGGGTGGTACGCAACTGTAGTCCCAGCTGCTTGGGAGGCTGAGTCAGGAGAACCGCTTGAACCTGGGAGGCAGAGGTTGCAGTGAGCGGAGATCACGCCATTGCACCTCAGCTTGGGCAACAACAGTGAAACTGCGTCTCAAAAAAAAAGCCAAAACAAATTTAATTAATGAGGAAAAGGGTATTTGTGGTGTCCATCATGATGTTTTCATATAGGTACACATTGTGGAATGGATGAAACAACCTCTTTATCTATTTATTTTTTCACATACTTGTATGTTTTGTGTGTGTGGTGAGAACATGTAAAATCTAATCTCTTAGTAATGTTCAATACACCATATGTTGCTATTAAATGGAGTCACCAAGACATACAATAGATCTCTTGAACCGATTTCTTCTAACTGAAATTTTGCATCCTTTGACCAACATCTCTTCAATCTCTCTCCTTCCCAGGTTCTTTCGACGACCATTTTACTGTTCCTCTAGGTTCCACTTCTTACACTCCACACATGAGATCATGTGGCATTTGTCTTTCTGTGCCTGGATTGTTTCCCTTAACATAATGTCCTCTAAGTTTTTTCACATTGTCACAAATGAGAGGACTTCCTTCTTTGTTGTAAAGGTTGTATAGTACTTCATTACGTTCCTATCGTATACCACGTTTTCTTTGTCCATGCACCCATAGATGGGCAGTAAGGGTGATTCCACATCTTGGCTGTTATGAATAATGCGGCTGTAAACATGGGAATGCAGATATCTCTTCAACATACTGATTCCACTTCCTTTGGATACATGCGCAGTAGTTGGATTGCAGACACATATGGGAATTCTATGTTTAATTTTTTCAGGAACTTCCAGACTGTTTTCCATAATGGTTGTGCTAATTTACATTCCCATCAACTGCATACAAATGTTCCCTTTTCTCCACATCCTCGTTAATGCTTGTTATTTTTTATGTTTTTGATAATGGTCTTTTTTTTTTTTTTTTTGAGACTCAGTCTTGCTCTGTCACCCAGGCTGGAGTGCAGTGGCACAATCTCGGTGTACTGCAACCTCTGCCTCCTGGGTTCAAGCGATTCCCCTGCCTCAGTCTCCAGAGTAGCTGGGACTACAAGTGTGCGCCACCAAACTCTGCTAATTTTTGTATTTTTAGTAGGGATGGGATTTCACCATATTGGCCAGGCTGGTTTCGAACTGCTGACCTCAGGTAATCTCCCTGCCTCGGCCTCCCAAAGTGCCTGAATTACAGGCATGAGCCACCATGCCCAGACTGTTAATGGTCATTCTAAGAGGTGTGAGGTGATATCTCATTCTAGTTTTAATTTTTATTTAGCTGATGTTTAGTAATGCTAATCATTTTTTCATATACCTTTTGGTGATTTGTCTTATTCTTAGAAATGTTTATTCAGATACTTTGCCCATTTTTTTAAGTTGGGTTATTTGATTTCTTACCATTGAGTTGTTTGAGTTTCTTATATATTTTGGATATTAATTCCTTATTAGATGTATGGGTGCAAATATATTCTCCCATTCCATAGGTTGTCTTTCCACTTGTTGAGTTTTTTTTTTTCTTTGCAGAAACTTTCAATTTGATATAATGTTATTTGTCTACTTTTGCTTTTGTTGCCTGGGCCTTTGGGTTAATATCCAAAATGGTTTTGCCCAAGCCAGTGGAGTTTTCCCTTGATTTCTTTTAGTAGTTTTTTTTTTTTTTAAGATGGAGTCTCACTCTGTTGCCCCGGCTGGAGTGCAGTGATGCGATCTCGGCTCACTGCAACCTCTACCTCCTGGGTTCAAGTGATTCTCCTGTCTCAACCTCCCGAGTAGCTGAGATTACAGGCACCCACAACCACACCCAGCTGTTTTTGTATTTTTAGTAGAGGCGGGATTTCACCATGTTGGCCATGCTGGTCTTGGAATCCTGACCTTAGGTGATCTGCCCGCCTTGGCCTCCCAAATTGCTGGGATGATAGTCTTTCACCTTACATTTAAGTCATTAATCTATCTTGAGTTGACTTTGTATGTTTTGTGAGGCAAATGTCCACTTCCATTCTTCTGCATGTCTCCCAATCCCATTTATTAAAGAGACTGTTCCTTCTCCATTGTGTGTTCTTGATACATCCCAAAAATTGTTTGACCCTAAATGCGTGCATTTTTTTTCCTGGGCTATGAATCACTTCCATTGGTCTATGTGTCTGTTTTTATGCAAGTACTGTGTTGTTTTAATTACTGTAACTTTGTAATGTAGTTTGTGTTTAGGTAATGTGATGCTTCCAACTTTGTTCCTTTCCCTCTAGATGGCTTTGGTTATTTGAGATCTTTTGTGGTTCCACATGAATTTTAGGACTGTTTTTTCTATTTCTGTAAAAAAAAATGTCATTGGATTTTTGATAATGGTTGCATTGAATCACTTTGGATAGAATGGACATTTTAACAACATTAATCCTTCTGATCCGTGAACATGGAATATCTTTCGATTTATTTGTTTATTTCTTGAGTTTTTTCATCAATGTTTTATAGCTTTTGCATACAGATCTTTCTACTCCTTGGGTGAATTTATTCCTGCATGTTTTGTTTTCTGTAGTTATTGCAAATGGGCTTATTTTCTTGTAAACTTTTTTGGATAGTTTGTTGTTAATGTATAGAAACTTTGTTGTTGTTGTTGTTGTTGTTGTTTTGATGATACCCATCCTAAGGGGTATGAAATGGCATCTGGTGTAGTTTTAGTTAGTATTTCCCTAATGATTCGTGATGCTGAATATCTTGTCATGCGTATGTTCTTTGGAGAAATGTCTGTTTCAGTACTTTGCCCATTTTTGAATTGAGTTTATTGTGATTGAGTTTTAGGAGTTGTCTGTATATTCTGGATGTTAATCCCTTACAGGTGGTGTGGTTTGAAAACATTTTCTCCCATTCTGTGGGTTGTCTTTTTACTTTGATAATATCGTCTTAAAAGTTCTTTTTCCTTGCCATGTGAAGTAACTGATGTTGTCTTTTGAGTCACAATATTTCAAAATTTTCATAAAGTCTAACTTGTTTATTTTTTCTGTAGTAGCCTGTGCCGTTGTTGTCACATCTAAAGAATCACTGCCAAATCCGATGTTGTGAAGTTTTCCTTTGTGTTTTCTTCTAAGACTTTAATTAAATTTTATTTGTCAATATTTAGGACTGACAAAAGCTTTTTAACATTCCTGGCACCATCTCAGTTATTGATCTACTCCCAAGATGGATCATTTCAATTAAAACATGTAAAGCATGACCTCACCTGAATGTGTTTGAACTTGCTCTTCTCCCTTTCAAATCGACTCCCTCACTTACATAGTTTGTGTTCAAATGTCAACAAATAAAACATAAAAAGAAATCAATCTTTTCATAGACCCTTTATCTAAAATAGAATAGTAGGTGCCATGACATTTCATCCTTTCATCTTGAATTATTTACTTTTCTACATGAACCAATCCATTCTTCTGTGTGCATGTGTGTGTGTGTGTGTGTGTAGTTTATCTGTCTACATATAATGTAAACACCAAAAAATAACAGACATTTAGTAATTTTCAAATGAGACTTCAGGAATTAACAATGGCTTGCCATTTTTAGTGTGTTATTATTATTATATTTAGATGAACAGAATTGCCTCAGGAACATGGCCAGGGGCTCATAGTCCAGGAGAACTGTGGCCTGACTCAGGTACATTTTACCTGCAATAACAGCAATTGCAGGTCACTGGAGTCCATCACAATTGGCTGGAGACAAATGTAAGACAAGAATATTTGCAGTTTCCCCAGACTGACACAGTTGCAGGTTCCCCGAAGTAATGAGTCCTGAGACACCTCCAACAAGAGCTAGAAAAGGTATCACTTCAAGAGGAGTTGCAGCCTACTCATTTTAGACAAATGGAGCAAAATTACAGTATCACATCTTTTCCTTTCTCCTTCATAGAATCTGGATGAACAGAACAGAAAGAGTTAATGGAATATAAGATTCCAATTCTCTGGCATGAGAAAATAGACAAGGAAAGGAAGATTCATCTTCATCACATCTCAGACATGCTTGGACACAGGGTCCAAGCACAAAAGAGAAACACATACTTCTTCCCATCCACACTGGGATCCAGGGTCTTCTCCCTCCTGTCAGGCCAGAACTGAGTCTCCACTCCCCAATTTAGTTCCCAGAGATGAAGCCCAATTTTCCTCTGTCTCAAGCTTTGAAGGCCAGCTTTAGCGTGTTCACCATGGATGAATGAAGGTGAGGTCAGAGGTTTGGGAAATGGTCAAGAATGAGGTGAGAAGAGAGCTGTGGAGGCATGGCCCCGGGGAGCTTGGTACCCCCCCATATCCAGAGCCTGTCTGGTCCAGGAGAGTTCCCAACCCTGTGAGCACCAACTCCGGATATTCTGGGCAGTGACCCGAGGGACAGCCTCTTATGAATACAGGCTGTTTTCCTCCAGTGTCTGCTGTGAAACCAGGATGTACAACATGGCCGTGTTCAACCCAACAATGGACTTAGGATTTTGCTGTACGCCAAAACTCAGTGTCCAACTTCCACTCTGTTTAGCTGGAAAAAGAAGGGGTTTGTTCCCATACATCTCACTCCTGTGTTCCTCTTTCAGTCTCAAAGCTCAGATGAAAACAATGAGTGTCACTTATTGTCAATCCTCTTCCCTGCCTTTTCCACACTCATCAGTATTACCGTTTACATTGAGACTAAAGATGGCCAATCACCACTTTTCTTCGGAAAAATCAACCTGATGTTGTACCTACTTTTTTAGAGGTGGAATCAACCTACCCTAAGATGCCAACTACATTTTACTGAATGGACTTTTGTGGATCCCCTCGATGTATATAGTGGCACCTTGAGGTATCATCCCTGTCTTTAGCAAATGAATATTATCCCAAGGACAATATTTCATCACAATTATTCGGGATGGACGAGTGGATATTGTGGTAGCAAGAACATTACTAAAAGTCACAGCTGATACAACACACTTGAAACCCATCTGGCCAATCTCCCACAGACAGAATGTCGCGCCATTCACTCCAGCCAGCTTCAGTCATGTTTCTTCCATTTCCACCTGTGGCCCCTCATGTCTCCACCAGGTCTTAGCCAGCATTGCCAAAAGAGCCAGGAAGACCAGACCAGCCACAACAATCCTGATGGAACTCTCCACAGTATAGTTCTGGAGAACAGGGGCTGGAGGGTGGGGGTAAGATCAGAGACCTTTCCATGTGGGCCAGGCCCCTCTCTCCCCAGAAGCTCTGAAATGGAGCTATTTCCCCATCTCACCTTCATAAAATTCTTCCTGTCCAGAACCCCTCTTCTCCCTATATCATCATGAGCACCTTCAGAAGTCTTTTGCCACAAAAAGAAATTTCTTTTGAAGATATACATTTTTTTGTACATTTCAAAAATGTTCCCAAACTAATTCTCCAAAGCAATAAATGTTTGTGTGTATTGCTGGGTAGGTTATGCATACAAGGAAAGGAAGCATAGTGAGTCTGATTTGGCAGAGGAAACATATGTGGAAATTATATCATTTACTCTCTTTACAAAATTAAGTACAAAATTGAAAACACTGGTAAGAAAGAATGAGCTATAGAGAAAGAAAACATCTGAGATGCTTGTTTCCAAGATGGCTGACTAAATGCTTTTCTGGCATGTCTCATCCACTTAGAAGAACGAGCAGAATCCAGAACAAAAACCATATGATCATCTCAATAGACATAAAGAAAAGCATCTGAAAAGAAATTCAACATCCTTACCTGATGAAAACCCTCAAAAACTTAGGCATAGAAAGAACATACCTCAAAATAATAAAAGCCATAGATGACATATCTAGAGTCAACATCATACTGAACAGGAAAAGTTAAAAGCACTCCTCTGAGAACTGGCACAAGACAAGGACACGGACATCCACCACTTCCTATCAACATAGTACTGGAAGCCTTGTCAGAGCTATTGGGCAACAGGAAGAATTAAAAATCCAAATTAGAAAAGAGGAAGTAAAATTATTTTTATTTCTGATGCTATGATCTTAAATCTAGAAAATCCTAAAGACCCTGCCAAAAATTCTTATGATTGATAAATGAACTAAGTAAAGTTTCAGAATACAAAATCAATATGTAAAAGCCGGTAGCATTTCTCTACACCTATAATGATCTAGCTGAGAACCAAATCAAGAAGGCAATGCCGTTTACAATAGATACGCAAAATTAAAACACTCAGGAATACATTTAACCAAGGTGGTGAAAGAGCTGTACCAGGAAAGGTGTAAGACACCAATGAAAGCAATTATAGATAATACAAAAAAAAAAAAAGAAAAAAAATCCCACGCTCATGGATCATAAGAATTAATATTGTTAAAATGACCATACTGCCTAAAGCAATCTACAGATTCAGTGCAATTCTTATATGAAAATAGTAACACCAGCTTTCACAGAATTAGAAAAAGCAATCCTAAAATTCATACAGAACCAAAAAAGATCCTAATAGAGAAAGCAATTCTAGGTGAATGTAGAAACCTGGAGGCATCACGCTATCTGACTTCAAACTATGCTCTAAGGCTATAGTAACTTAAATAGCACAGTGCTGGTATAGACACAGAAACAGAGATCAATAGACCAGAATAGAGAGCCCAGAAATACAGCCTCATATCTACAGTGAATAATCATTGACGACGTTAACAAAACATACACTGGAGAAAGATTTCCTTTTCAATAAAAGGTGCTGGGAAAACTAAATAGCCATATGCAGAAGAATAAAACTGGACCTGTATCTGTAATCATACACATAAATTAACTTAAGGTAATTAGCAGCTTAAATGTAAATCCAGAACTATAAAATCACCGGTGGAAACCCAAAGAGAAACTCTTCTGGGCATTGGTCTGGGCAAAGAATTCATCACTAAGACCTCAAAAGCACAGGCAATAAAAATAAAACTAGACCAATGGGACTTAATAAACGAAAGAGCTTCTGCCAAGCAAAGGAAATAGTAGCAGGGTGAACAGACAACCCACAGAATGAATGGAAATGTTTGCAAACTATGCACCCAACAGAGGACTAACATCCAGAATTTCTAGGCAACTCAAACAACTAAACATAACCCCTCAAATAATAGCATTAAAAAGTGGGCAAAGGGATATACATAGACATTTTTCAAAAGAAGACATACGAATGGCCAAACAGCGTATGAACATCACTAATCATCAGAGAAATGCAAATTGAAACCACAATGAGATATCATCTTACAGTAGTCAGAATGGCTATTACTAAAAATGCTGGTGGGGAGTGGTGGCTCACGCTTGTAATCCCAGCACTTTGGGAAGCTGAGGCGGGTGGATCATGAGGTCAGGAGTTTGAGACCAGCCTGACCAACATAGTGAAACCCCATCTCTACTAAATATACAAAAGATTAGCTGGGCATGGTGGTGTGGTTCTGTAATCCCAGCTACTCAGGAGGCTGAGGCAGGAGAATCATTTGAACCTGGTTGGTGGAGGTTGCAGCGCGTGGAGATGGCGGCACTGCACTCCAGCCTGGGTGACAGTGGAAGACTCCATCTCAAAAAGAAAAAAAGAAAAAGTGAAACATATAACAGGTGTTGGCAAGGATGCAGAGAAAAGGAAACTCTTATACACTGTTGGCCGGTATGTAAATTAGTATAGCCTCTATGGAAGACAGTATGGAAATTTGGCAGAGAACCAAAAATAGAAGCACCATTCGATCTAGGGGTCCCGCTGCTGGGTATCTACTCAAAAAATACCTGCACCTGTATGTTTATTGCAGCACTGTTTGCAATAGCAAAGATATGAAATCAATCTAAGTGTCTGTGAATGAATGATTGGATTAAAAAAAGGATGCGTGTATACACAACGAAATACTATTTGGTCATAAAAATAAAACCATGTCTTTTGCAGCAACATAGATGGAGCTGGACGCCATTATTTTACATAAAACCACTCAGAAAGACAAATACCACATCTTCTCACTCTACATGGGAGGGGAGTAATGTGTACATATGGACGTAGAGTGTGGAATGACGGACAGCGGAGGCTAGAAGGCTGGAGGGTGGCGGGACGTGGGTGAGTGATGAGAATTTGCTTAATGAGTACAATGTACGGTATTTGGGTGATGGATATAGTAAAAGTCCTGACTTCACTACTCTGCAACATACTCATGTCACAAAATTACAAGTGTACCTCATAAATTTATACTAATAGAAAAGAAAGTCTGTACACAGTAATCAATTGTGATATGTAGATAAAGTCAATATTAAATTTAAACCAGAATAACTAGTTAAAATGTTGTGTACACAACAGTGAAGAGAGTATTTATCCTCTATGACAGAGGAAACCATCAATATTAATGCACAGAAAAAGCAAATAACTGAAACAAGAAAGAGCAGTTTTGTGACAGGGTAAAAATTGACAACAGTTTTAGAATGCTCCTAACTTGAGTTCCAAAAAGAAAGAACGAGAAAACAGGTCAGAAGCAATCTTTAAAGAGGCAATTGTTGATTATTTGGAGGAAGTAGACACATCCATCAATCCACAGGTTCAAGAAATCCAGTGAATGCCAGGCAGAATGAAGTAAACACACCTCACGTTCAACATTACAGAAAAGCAGCATAAAAGCACAACCAACCCTTAAAATTAGCCAGAGGAAAAGGATCAGCTGGTAAGGATTTATAGGGAGCCAAGCATTGTCTTCCCCACAGAAAAAAGGAAAACATAAGCCAGTAGAATAGCATCTTTACCCAGCTAAGATACCGTCGCCAGCCACCGACAATTCCTTACATAGTACAGTTACTGTCCAAGATCAACGCAGGAAAGAAACAGAACTGAAAGACAAAAGGGCAAAGAAAGCTTTTCTCACTGACCCTAAAGGAAATTCTGATGACCGTGCCTCAAAGATAAAGAAAGTGAAACCAGATGGGGTGTCGAAGATTCTGACAATAACTAAGAGCAGAGGAAGAACTAAAAATATGGCTATGCCAAAAATGAATATGGACCATACGATAGTGTATGAAAACACGCCCCTGTGTAATTTCTGAAAAAGATAGAATTATGTATACCACAAAACAAAACATCATATAAGTAAATACAAACATATGTACTAAATATGCTCTAAAATCCTGTTCTTACACAGGAAGAGTGGAAATATGTTTTTATATTTGCAGTTTAATCTCTGAAATGATTAATTTCAATTTTAAAAATATGTAACAACTTCAGGATGAGTACACCATATATGTATTCCTAAACGACATAGATCAAAAATAGAATGTTTGAAATAGAAAACCACAGAAGTCAGTGGGAAAAAAAGGGAATCAGGAAAACACAACGTAATAATAACAAAAATATGATTGGAAGAACTGCTCAAACATGAACAAAAGATTGTCAGAAAGTCTTACTTTCTAAGGCGAATTGTTTGAAATTTACAAAGGACACATCTCAATGTTAACAATTCATGGAGTTTGAAATTAAACAATGTAGAAATATACCAAGCAATCACTGTTAGAAATGTGGTATAACTATATTAAAATTAGACAAAATTAGTCTTTGGGAAAAATCAGCGGAAAACATTAAGCATAAAATGTAGGAAAAAAGCAGGTAAATTTATAGCATTTTAAATTTACCAGGAATATATAATCAGTTTACACTTAACCACTCCCAGTAATATTCCTGCAAATATACATGGAGGAAGAGTCGCGGAAATAAATGGACAGGTAGGCAAATCCACGGCCACAGTGGGGTGTTTAACACTCCTCTTTTCTCAGTTGTTGATAGAAGTGGTTCAGGCAATTAGAGAGGATTTAGAAAGATAATTGCTGGACCTGACCCAAGGTATAAGTCCACTCCCAACCACAGGACTCACTTTCCTTACAAGCACAAGGGCATTTAGAAATCTCTCTGGATTCTGACCAGCCCTCACCATATGGCAGGTCCATGGACTTCTTGGAACACACCAAGCTCATTCTCACATTAGGGTCATCCCCAATGTCCTAAGTCCATGAAAGTTCCTTTCAACACACTCCCCAGGGCTCACTCCCTCTTGTCTCTAAGATCGGAGTTTAAATGTGATCTCTCTGATGAGGTCTCAGTGAGACGTTCCCTCCTGTACACTCCAAATGACAACGTTCCACGTTCATTCATTTCATTCTGTGCATGGCACTTTCACCAAGTGCTAAGGATTCACTCACTAATTCATACATTCATTCATTCATTCATTCACTCATTCCATCATTCACTCATTCATTCATTCTCTCATTCATTCATTCATGTTCTGCCTCTCTCTCCCACCCCACAGCAATGTGAGCATCATGAACCCAGGAGCTTGGCCGTGCTGTCTACTCCTGGCCATGAAACAGAGAGAACTGATGGTAGGTGTGAAATAAATATTAGATGAATGAGTTAGTGAAGGGGTCATTTACTGGGTGAGCTCAGTTCTCTCTACTCTAATGCCCTCCCTCGGCTGACTTCCCTGAGTTGCCCCCTCGGCTGAGTGAAGTCCCTTCACTGGCAAATGGAACCTCAACCAGTAGCACCTAGGTGGTCTCATACTTTGTTCTTTCCCTCTCCTCTTGCTCCCTAAGGATTATCAATCTCCATGACAGGGCTGGAGAGCAGACAAGCCACACATTCTTTCTGGGGAGAGAGTAACATGGAGTACAAGGCATTCCACATTTAGGAAGAGAACTCAGTTATGGAAGGTCAGAAATGAAAAGTTCCTACAGACCAACACCCAGGTTGGTGGCCACAGCCCTAAATGCTGATGGAGAATCACTGCAAGTCTGTAGGGAAGATGTCTGGCTTGAGGCCACTGAGCGAAGTGGCAGATCCTTCTCAGCCTTCAGTGCTGAGCCTCTGTCCCCTCAGGGATCCACTGACCAATGAGAAGAGCCTCTTCTCATCTCCTGGGATGGAGCTTGGGGCCCCTGGCGAAGGAATGGGCCTGTTTCCACCTGTCATGTTGTCATCTAGCTTGGAAATCCTGCGAGTCCCAGGGAGGCCCTCCCCGAGTCCCCAGAGAAGACTCCCCCACTGAGTCTCCAAGGTGTGGAGAGAGCAAAAAACATCTAGGGTGGAAAATGCCTCCCATCAAGAGACATTGGGGCTCCCCCAACGATGGTTGCATCTGTGCCCCCCATGTGGAAATCACTCTTTGGTGAGAGGTGGGGGCTTCTGGAAATGGGCAATGGCGGGCGGCCAATGCTACCTCTAGTCTTTCCAATCTGAGCCCGGCCTTTCATGCTCCTGAGTCAGCATTGATGCTGTTTACATGTGTCCCAGGTGGGCTTCTGTACAAAGACTGGGAAGTGGTTTATGTGGCCTGTGCTCTATCTGCAAGCTTCAGGTAGGGTTGCAGTTACCACCCCAAACCCTAATGTGATCTGTCTGCCTCGCTCTGTCTGTCTGTCTATGCCTCTTTCTGTATGTTTGCTTTGTGTCTCTTCTGTCCAGCATCTCTGGCTGACACCCCCATGGCCACCCCCTCCATCTGAGGCTCCCCTGAATGTGGCCATTGTAGTCCATCTGAGTCCCACTATTTGGGGAACAGACTGGTTTCCTCACCTGTGACAGAAACAAGCAGTGGGTCACTAAGGTCTGACCACTCGTAGGGAGAGTCACGGAAAGAGCCGAAGCATCTGTAGGTCCCTCCGTGGGTGGCAGGGCCCAGAGGAAAGTTGGCCTGGAAGGTTCCATTGACCTTGGGCACTGCAGGGAACCTAAGTTCATGAGCCTCCCCCTCCCTTGATAGATGGTAGATGTCATAGGAGCTCCGGGAGCTGCAGGACAAGGTCACGCTCTCTCCTGCCTTAACCATGGGGCGCGGCTGGGCTGAGAGAGAAGGTTTCCCACATAGACCTGGAAGGAGAAGAGGCAGTTTCCTCAGGGAGGTTCTTCCTTGTCACAACTCCCCTCCCACCTGAGCTGAGAACTCACTCCCCTGCTCTATGGCCTAATGCTCTCTCTCTCTGTCTCACCCTCCACACCATCTCTCTTTATGTCTATTTCCTCTTTCCACCTTCTCTGTCTCTCTAGGTCTCTGACCTCACTTTCTCACCTCTAGATATGTTTTCCCTTTTTGGATTGTTTTATTCTCTCTGACTCTCCTTGGACTAGTTGACTTGATGTTACTTTTTTTAAATTCTGAGTTTCTCACTTTGTGTCCTGTTCATAACTTTCTGCATATTTCTATCTATTATCTATCGATATATCTATTTATCTATCTGGTGCCTATCTACAAATTCTCTACCTGTCATCTATATCTATATATAATCTATTTATCTATCAATTGTCTATCCAAAAATCATCTATTATCTATATCTATGTATCATCTCTCTCTCTCTATGATTTCTCTTTGTCTGCCTCTCTATCTCTATGTATTATCTATCTATCTTCATCTTCATCATCTCTATGTATCATCGATTAATCAATGAATGAATCGATCATCATCTATGTATCTATAACCTATTATCTATCATCTACCTATTTATCATCTATCTATATCTATCCATCTATCATCTGTCTTGCTCTGCCTCTCGGTCTCTCTAGTTCTCTTTGGAATCTCTGCAATTCATCCCCACATCTCCATCTTTCTATGTCCTTGTGCCTCTCCCTCAGGACTCTAATTTTAGTGCTTTTCTCTGTTCCCTTCCATTGTTCTCTCCACTTCTCTGCCCTCTTTTCTCCCTCTTTATGTGTCTGTGAGTCTCTCAATCTCCTTCCTCTGGCTCATTCTCTGTGTGTTTATGTCTTTGCTTTTTGGTGTCCCTGATTTCTCTCTGTGTCTCTCAGTGATCCTCTCATATGTGGGGTTATTTGGAATGTGAGCCTCAGAATCCAGTCTGGGGACCGCAAGTTCACACAGTATACAGGGGTTGATGCTCTGGGGCCATGATATCCTGGGACGATTACTCTCCATTGCATGGAAGGCAGAGGTGTCAGAATAAACACGGCATCTGTAGGTGCCAGAAGGCCTGAGGCCACAGGGCCCAACTCAGGCCAGAAATATGGGTGTCCTTGGGTTCTTCTGGTAGAGAACACTTTGTGGAAGTAAAACAGAAATGAAACTTCTAACCTGTGCCAGGTCTCTGAGCAAAGTCAGCATGGAAGGACACCTCTCTCTGGCACATGTCTGTCTGTGTCTCCTTTAACTCTTTCTGTCTTTTCTAACTCCCTGTATGGCCCCTGTGTCTGTCCTCTGTTATGACACCTGGTCTGTACTTGTGTCTCCTGTTTCTCTGTCTCTGTTGGTACAGACCTCACCAAATTAGTCTCTCTCCATAAGAATACCAAGCTCATCTTCCTTATAACCACCTGGGCCTCCAAGTCGTGGATCATTCACTCTGTGTCCCAGTGACAATGAGAATAATGTCCAGACACTCTCACCTGTAATCACGATGTCCAGAGGGTCACTGGGAGCTGACAACTGATAGGGGGAATGAGGAACAGAACCGTAGCATCTGTAGGTCCCTGCAAGGTCTTGCGTCATGCGACCGATGGAGAAGTTGGCCTTGGAGACCCCATCATGGAGCTCTCCAGTGAGGCGCAAAGTGTCATTAAACTTCCCCTCTCTGTGCAGAAGGAAGTGCTCAAACATGACATCTGACCAACATTGCAGGATGACTGTCTCTTCTGATTTCACCAGGGGACCTGGGTGGGCCAGGAGGGAAGGTTTTCTGTGGACTCCTAGGAAGAGAGGTTGTGACTTTAGAAGGCATCTCTCTTTATCATCCCATCCATGGCACCTAGAATGAGTGAGGCTTCCCCTCGCTGGTGTCTTATCTCTCTCCTTCCTCTCTGTGTCTTCATGTTCTTTTCTGTGCCCATAACTCCTGGTACAGGTCCTTCCATCTGTCTCCCTCCCTCTTCTCTGTCCCTCTGTCTCTAGTAGCTCCTGATTCCCTTGCCGCTGGGCTCAGCCTCATCTCTTGGGCTGTTGTATCTATTTCGAACTAATGTCTTTCCTGCTTCTATGTGGGGGTGGAAGAGGAACCAGGATAGGCTGCACGTCCAGGCTCTTAGCAGACTGGTTCAATCTCTTTTGGACGAATTGGAATCCTTGGCAGAAGGTATGAACTGATCAGTAAGGCAGGCACCAGTGTCCACACACCCTGTTCCTGGTGGGGACTGGGAGCCACTCTTGCCATGCCTGTGCCTTCTCCATGGTGCCAGCTTCCATAGGCTGGCTTCTGGTGCTGGTTTGAGGAGTATCAACCCCTCCCTATGTGGATGGAGCCTGGTGGTGGCATCATCATCCCACCCTTGCTGATCTCGGTGTAGCCAACCTTCTCTTTGTTTGGTTTCTTTAATTAATTAATTAATTTTGGAGTCAGAGTCTCACTCCTTCACCCAGGCTGGAGTGAAGTGGTGTGGTCTAGGCTCACTGCAACCTCTGTCTCCTGGGTTCAAGTGATTCTCCTGCCCTCAGCCTCCTGAGTTGCTAGGATTACATGCACCTGCCACCACGCCCGGCTATCCTTGTGTCCTTTCTTATCTTGTCCTTGACCTGGGTTCCAGTGTTGGTTTCCTGTTGGTGCTGTAGAAAATTATCAGAAGCATGGCAGCAGGAGAGAGCACACTGACCCCTTCCGTTTCTGGAGACAGAAATCGGACCCTGTTTTTTGAGGGCTAAAATCAAGGCATCTGCAGGGCTGCGTTCCCTCTGGAGACCCAGGAGAATCAGTTCCTTGACTTTTCCAGCCTCTATAGGCCACCTGCATTCATGGCTCATGGCCTTCCTCCACCTTCAAAGCTGATGGAGACTTCCATTGCACTGCTCTAATCGCCACTCCCCTCTTCCTTCTCCTCTCATGTGCACCCTTGTGATTACACTGAGCCCAGCAGGACAGTCCAGGCTGTCTCCCCATCTCAAGGTCAACTCAACAACCTGAGCTCCATCTTCCCCTTCAGTGCCTTCCCCTATAACATAAATAGTCACAGACTGCAGGGATTAGAATGCAGTCATCATTGGGGACAATTATTCTTTCCACCACAGCACCCATTTCCCTGTATTCAATCCCCTTTTACCCCAAATACAGTTAGGGTCTGGATGATGGGACGCTGGTGGACACTCCCACCAGAAGCTCTGGGACTCAGGAGGTGGGACAAGGAGAATCCCAGACAGGAGCCCTCTGACCTGTGACCATGATCACCAGGGGGTTGCTGGGTGCTGACCACCCAGTGAGGAAGTGTGGGTGTGAACCCCGACATCTGTAGGTCCCTGCATGTGCTGGGGTCACAGGGCCTATGAAAACGGTGTTTCGGAATACTCTGTTGTAGAGCTCAGGGACAGGCACCCCGTCTTCTTTGGACAGACTGAATTCGTTAAACCCAAGACGAGAGCGACACTGAAGAGCCACATGTTCTCCTTCAGACACCACAGGGCTGGGCCAGGCAGAGAGGAAGGGCTTGTCCTGACCACCTGGGGGAGAAGGAGGCGCCACCTTAGAGAGGAGGATGTGGAGCCGCCCCTCCCTCCACGTGTCAGAAGATTCTCCCATTTCCACTTTCTAAGGCTCCTACCACACCTGGGTGCCCAGGGCTACAGGAAGGACCCACCCCGCATAGACTTGGCGTCTCTCTACAACAAAAGTGTCAGCTGAGAACTTTGAGCAAGTGCTGAGTAAGGGACTCCTACTAGATTTTAATCCTGCAAGATTACTCACATAAAACAACACAAATAGACATGGAGTCGAGGGCATGTTCTTTGTGAATGGAATATCAGCCAATGTGTGAACCACAATACACAACTGAGCCCCCAACAGAGGATTTGGAAGGTCAGGGCCCTGGCTGGGGTTCCCCCACCTCTGAGGTAGAATGACAGCAGCCACACTGCAGCCCCTACCGTCATGGAAACGCTGGAGGGTGTGAGTTACACCTTTGTCCTCAGAGGCCTGCTGTTCCTAGCACTGCTTTGCTCCCTTCCTCTGCCAGTGACACCACATCCCAGCCGCACAGCCCAGCTTGGAGGACCCCAGTCTACCCTCCCGGGTTCCCACAGAACCTGACTCAGCCAAGGGAAAGGAAGGCTGGGGAGGGCAAGGTCGGAACTGTGGGCTGAGCACCCCAGGGTCTCCTCATCCTTGTTTATAAGAAAATCCCCCACCGGGCTTCCCTCCTGTTTCAGGAAAATCCTCTTATGTGGGGAGATGACACCCTAAGGTTTGGAGAAGGACTCACCCTCATGTGGCCAGGCCCCCTGCAGCAAGAAGAACCCTGGAAAGAAAGATCATGATGGACCATCCATCTGCAGGCAAACCAGGACTCCCTTGCTGCCCCCACTGGGCTGTGAGTCTTGGTAGCCAGGCCCTTGCTGGGCTGAAGGGAAACTCACCCTCAGTGCCAGCCTGCACCCAAGAACAGGGCTGTCGGCTGTGTAGAGACCCAGCCTGCAGGCCCATATCCGCACCCCAGGCCCCTATCCCCACCCCAAGCCCATATCTCCACTCCAGGCCCATATCTCCACTCCAGGCCAATATTTCCACCCTAGACCCATATCTCCAATCCAGGCCCATATCTCCACCCCAAGCC
Source organism: Homo sapiens (assembly GCF_000001405.40). Lineage (NCBI taxonomy): Eukaryota > Metazoa > Chordata > Mammalia > Primates > Hominidae > Homo > Homo sapiens. The sequence continues at coordinate 82,184 of NT_187642.1, forward strand.
CATATCTCCACACCCAGGCCCATATCTCCATCCTAGGCCCATATGTCCACTCCAGGCCCAGATATCCACCTCTAGGCCCATGTCTCCACCTCCAGGCCCATATCTCCACCTCCAGGCCCATGTCTCCACTCCAGGCCTATATCTCCATCCCAGGCCAATATCTTCACTCCAGGCTCATATCTCCCCTCCAGGTTCCTATCTCCACTCCAGGCCCAGATCTCCACTCCAGGCCCATATCTCCACCTCCAGGCCCATATCTCCACTCCAGACCCAGATCTCCACTTCTAGGCCCATCACTCCATCTCCAGGCCCATATATCCACTCCAGGCCCAGATCTCCACTCCAGGCCCATAACTCCACCTCCAGGCCTATATCTCCACCTCTGGGCCCAGATCTCCATCCCCGCGCTCCCTCCCTCTATTCCTTTCCAGGACTCACCAACACACGCCATGCTGACGACCATGAGCGACATGGTGCTGCCGGTGCAGACAGGCAGCCGCGCCCCAGCTCAGCTCAGCAGCGCACAGGATGTTATTTGGCGCCCTGCCCATGCAGCTTACATGTTGACTACATCATGGGAGGGTGACGTACGCAGGCTCTTTCTACCTTGCATGAGGCCCAGTGGATGCTTGCTCAAGAGCGGAACACGGCTTCCTGGAAATTGTTCTCACTAGAATTGGCACCTCACGTCCTTCACTATGACCAACTCACAACACGTCTCAGATCCAACCTCCCGAACACAAGATGCCTAAAATCTGTGCTAACGTGAAAGACTTTTCATGTATTTTTATCCGAACACGAGATGCCTAAAATCTGTGCTAACATGAAAGACTTTTCATGTATTTTTTTTGTTTTTATCTGAGATTCAAACTCTTCTTCCTGTGTAATATGCAAAGTATCTAATAGGTATTATTAATGTTTTCGGAGTCATTGTGACTAATAAACCATTAGAATTTTTCATGCTTGTATTTCTAGTATTACAGCAGAACCAGCTAAAATGATTTAAATTCCCAGGGAAGGATTATGCAATTATTTACAATCTTAGAATTGTACTTTATCAGCAAAAACCACACCTGTAAATTCTGGAGTTTTGTAGTTTAATCTAAAATTTGTCTCATGACCCAAGATTCCAGAGTCCCAACTCTGGAGTTTGCTCTCTGTCTGTCTCTCTCCCTCCCTCGTTTTAAATTTTACAGAAATATCCAGTAACATAATGCTATAGAAAATCAAGTTTTCCCCAGCACGTTGGGAAGCCGAGGTGGGCGGATCAACTGAGATAAGGAGTTTGAGAGCAGCTTGGCCAATATAGTGAAACCGTGTCTCTGTTAAAAATCCAAAAATTAGCCGTGCCTGGTGGCAGGCACCTGTAACGCCAGCTGCTCAAGAGGCTGAGGCACGAGAATCGCTTGAACCTGGGAGGCGGAGGTTGCAGTGAGCTGAGATTGTGTCACTGCAGTCCAGCCTGGGCGACAGAGCAAGACTCCGCCTCAAGAAAAAAAAAGCAAACAGCCTATAATAACAAATTAGAGGGCTCTGGCTACTAAATTTAAAGGGTTCTATAAGGCTACATAAAGTGCAGCATCATCAAGAGTGTGGACACAGAGAGCCCCTTAGCAGAAACAGTGTCTAAAATACATCCATGTACACACAGTCCCTTTAGAGTTGACAAAGGCTGCCGTGTGGTTTAAGGTGGCATAGAATGTCTTCTCAATAAATAATATTAAACCAATTGGTTACACCTAGGAAAAAATAAATCTAACTCACACTATAAAAACACTTCTTAGTTTTTATCTAGTTGTACATTTTTTATGATTTATATTTAAATTTGAGAAATAAAAGTCATATACGGTCATCCTTCACTATTCGTGGGTGATTGGTTTTGAGATCTCCACTCAGATACCAAAATCTGTAGATGCTCAAGCCTCTTATATGAAATGGCACAGAGTTTGCAAATAACCTATGCACATCCTCCTGTATACATGAAATCATCTCTAGATTACTTATAATTCCTGATACAGCCTACACACAGCTTCATTTGTGTCCATTCAACATAGTTATGCTTTTTGAAACTCTGTGGATACTTTCTCTCAATATTTTTGATTTATACTTGGTTCAATAAACACCTGTAAACCCCGCAGATATGGAGGAGTGACCGTATATTTATATTATGAAAGATGATGTGTTGATATGTGTCCCCATGGAGATGAGACTAACAAGGCCTATGATTCTACAAATGTTTCATTGTGGAATGACTCTGCCAGCTTTCCAGGTCTGCAGAGAGTAAGAGTATCACTTGTTCATATGATTCGTGATCCTTGGAACCTCCTATGTGCTACATCTTTGGATGGAAATTGGAGTCTCAGAGACAAATGAGGCTCCACCCTGCTTCCAGAAACTCAGAGTCCGGGGATGAGAACTCAGTGGGGAACAGATGGGATTATATGGACATGGTACTGATAACACCGGAAGCCTTAGGCAAGAAAAGAGTCCCATTACCGAAACCATGGGGGCAGACATGTTTATTTGAAGGATGGAAAACTACATTGAAGTTATTTTAAAAAATATATAAGTTTTACTGCTGACAGAAGACTGAAAGCTAGTCTGAGGGGAGGTGGAACAGCATGAGGGAAGGTGGAACAACACGTGTCTAAGTGCTGCGTTAAGAGGGAGCCTCTTGTATGTTTGGAATTGTGAGTTCCTCAGTGTGATTGCAGCCTCAAGTAGACTAGGAAGTAAGCCAGTTAGGTTGGAGAGGTGGGCAGGGGTCAAGTGAAATGGAGAACTGTGGGCTAAGCAAAGGAGTGTGTTTTTTCTCCAGCAGGCAGTGGGGACCTTAGACATTTGTAAGCAAGTGAGAGGCACATTCAGATTTGTGGTGTGAGGAAGAGCGATGCCCTAAGATGCAGACTCATGCCTTCAGATTCCAGCTGCTGGTACATGGGAGCTGGCAACCCGGTTTTGAGACAGGGCTGTTGTCTCCCTAGAAGACGCCCTCAAGGCCTGACTGTGGTGCTCATGGGCAGGAGACAACTTTGGATCTGGACTCAGCATTTGGAAGTTCCGTGTACACGATGATATCTGTTGGGGGTGTCTTGGGCCTCTGAGAAGGGCGAGTGATTTTTCTCTGTGTGAAAACGCAGTGATTCAACTGTGTGTATGTCACCTCCTGAGGGTCTTGTTCATCAGAGTCCTGGAGAGAGGGAAATGCTGAGTGAGGGAGGGTGCTCACATTTTCCAGGACTCTTTGGGAATAACAGTAGCCACGAGCCCGGGCCGAGGAGTACCTACCTCGCTATTCGCTGTTCTGTTCCCTGCAGACTCTTGGTCCATTACCGCAGCATCTGTAGGAGACGGAAGTCAACAAAACAGCTCGGAGGGCACTTCTGGGTCCTCATTTCATAAGCAGATACCAACATACAGGGGGAGACCATAGGTGGCTGAGGTCCCTCAGTTGCCAACAGCAGACTCAGACATTCTATCTCTCTGAGCTCAAGGACCCATCCCATGAATAGCTCTGAGTTCCCATCCCATTGATTCTGTCTCCCACTTTCTGCCTGTCATGGAACCTTCTCCTGGATGTGAGTGGCTGCAGGGGACATGAGGATACAGTTCAGAATCAGGCAACGGTCTGTGAGTTGAAGGCAGGGGCAGGGAGTCTGGTGCCCTCTCTAGAAAGTCCTGCCTCTGTGGCTGCTGCCTTGGGCCAGGGACCATCCTGTTTGTGAGGAACACACACCTGAGTGCTCCCATCCTGCTTCCCCACATGGCCCTGAGCTCTCTGGCCTCTGCTTCGTGAGACTTACTTTTTTTGTTGGAGCACCAGCGATGAAGGAGAAAGAAGAGGAGGATGAAGAGGATGATGACCACTGAGGTCCCAATCAGAATGTGCAGGTGTCGGGGGTTACCTGGAAGAAGATGAGACACCAATAAGAAGCTAATCTTAGCAGTTCCTCTTTATGAATTGTCTCGCATTTCTTGATTGACAGGTAACCACATAAAACATCTCTTTAGGACAAGCACCCAGATGGCAGGAGACCCAGCTTTCTCCTGCTTTTTCAGTTATAGCTCTCATAGTAACCATAGAACGTGCTGAGGATACGACTACTTTAGTTGAGATGTTTGACCCCTTCAAACCTCACATTGAAATTTCACCCCCACTGTGGGAGGTTGGGCCTCTTGAGAGGTGTTTGGGTCATGGAGGTGGATCCATCATGAACACATCAATGCTGTCCCAAGGAGACGGGGTTAGCAAGTTCCCCCTCTATTAGTTCCCGGAGAGCTGGTTGTTAAAAAGAGCTTGGAAGCTCCATCACTCCCCCTCCCCCTTGCTCCCTCTCTTGCCGTGTGATCTCTGTGGTCTCTGCACAGACAGACCCTCCTTCCCTTCTGCCAGAGTGGGAGCAGCCTGAGGCCGTCACGAGAAATAGATGCTGGTGCCATGCTTCCAGTACAGCCTGCAGAACGGTGAGGCAAACCAATCTCTTTTCTTTAGAAGTTACCGAGGCTCAAGTGTTCCTTTAGAGCAACAAAAATGGCCTAAGACAGCAACTTCCTGAGATCAGGAGGAACGTCTCAGAACACCCTGGGCTGTCTTCCTGTTCTTCCTGGAGGACGTCATGCAGTGCTTTAGCTGAGTGCTTCCTGTGGCTCCAGGGTACAAAACCCAGGCTGGGCTGCTTTCTGGCTTCCCGCAGCTACACTGCAAATGGGGTGACTCCATATGTCCCGAGGAGCTTTTCTGAGCCTTGAGGGACTGGCTCACATTGAAATATAGGTTTCTGTTGTCACTCGCTGCTTATCTGTTAGTAATGAACCTGCCTATGTAACGTATTCTCTGTGTGTTCTGTCTCCCTGGAGTGACGGTGAGTGATAGGAATTGGCATAGGCCCAGGTGCAGTCCAGGAGGTGTTTAGAGTCTTCTCTGGGAAGACTGGACTGGGATTGATTCACAGCGAATGTGCTTTAGGGTTTCTACATCCACAGCATTCTTGAATCAAACAACTTGCATTCTCCAAGGAAAGAAAACAAAAGTGAAATCAAGATAAAAAAAGCGAAATAGAATTCTCTTATGTCAAACGGCCAGGAAATAGTGTTGAAGCCCGTGTGAAACCTGCTGCTCTTTGTGATCTCGGGAGACACATATTAGGCTGCTGTTCTACCCGAGAGGCTGGGGGAAGGACCACCCCCTCGGCCATCTATTGCTTCAATACCACCTGTCCTCCTGTGAATTAGTAGGAAAGGGGAGCAGGAGCTAGTGCTGTCGCTGATCTCTGATTCCAAGATCTGGACTCACTCCAAGGAGTGTTAATGTTTACCTCCCCATGGTCTACCTGAATCTCCACAGGTGATTGGAAGTAGGGGTGAGGTGGGGGATTTGGGTGAGTGGGCAAGTTTTTTTTGTGATGACCAGAGCACTTTCTCTATTCCAGGATCTGTGCTGGAGGATTCAGCGGACTTTCACATTTTCTATATGATCTCATGCTCACAGAAAGCCAAATAGGGAAGAGGTTTTAGGCTCATTGCCTAATGGATAAGATAAAGGATCAAAGAAGTAATTATAGAGAAATAGAAAAATCATGATTGGAATTCAGGTCCCTTTGTCATTTGCGTGTGTTATATTATATTTATATTTATGCATTTCTTATTTTTATTTTTTGAGACGGAGTCTCCTTGTGCCACCCAGGCTGGAGTGCAGTGATGCAACCTCCACTCACTGCAACCTCCACCTCCTGGGTTGAAGTCATTCTCCTGCTTCATCCTCCAGAGTAGGAGCTGGGATTACAGGGATGCACCACCATGCTCGGCTAATTTTTGTGTTTTTCCTAGAGACAGGGTTTCACCATGTTGGCCAGGCTGGTCTCGAACTGCTGACTTCATGTGATCCACCCGCCTTGGCCTCCTGCAGTGCTGGGTTACAGGCGTGAGCCACCGTTCACAGACTTGTATATTATGCTATAATAGGTCTCTTCATTTCCACCACCCCTCATATATCTGTCACTCCTTTGCCAGGTATTGATTTATGTGTAGGATGAATAAATCTCAGAAAGAAATTAATTAAGCGAGGATTAAACAAGTAGGAAAATCAAACCCAGCAAGCCTTTCCAGTCAATGATTCTACCTCACAAACCTATCTTATATCCATCTACTTCATTCATTTAGTGTCTAAATCAGCACCACATTTCACCAGTGGGGCGGCAATTGCCTTTTCCACGGTCTCCTAGATTCCAGTTATGCAACTGAGCCTCCCTTATTTTCATGTCAGTCATATTAATCATGTAGGGATTCCTGGCTACCCCGAGGTGAATCCAATGGCTGTGAGTGTCAAACACACACTCCTTGTTCCTCCTTAGTTTCCTGTGTACCCAGTGTGCTCTCCGTCTCTCCACAGTCATCTTGTCATTCTCCCCACATCATTCCCAGCATTTGAGGAAGAGCCTCTTCCTTCCACATCAGATTGTTTTCACCTTTGTGCCTTCACGGCTGACAGCTGTGTGTGCAAAATCCTTCCGCCAATCTTTCAGGGGTTCAATCCGTGTTTTTCATTAATGTCACAAATATCTGAATAGTGAGACCTTCTTTGTCACCTGAAATCATACACTCAGCATTATCTATTATTGATTTTGAATTCTGGCTGGGCACAGTGGCTCACGCCTGTAGTCCCATTACTTTGGCATGCTGAGACGGTCGGATCACTTGAGGTTGGGAGTTTCAGACAAGCTTGGCCAACGTGGTGAAACATCCTCTCTACAAAAAATATACAAAAAGAATTAGCCGGGCACGGTGGCAGTTGCCTGTAATCCCAGCTACTCGAGAGGCGGAGGCAGGAGAATCACTTGAATCCAGGAGAAGCAGGTTGCAGTGAGCCAAGATCGTGACACTGCACTGTAGCCTGGAAGACAGAGGGCAACTCTGTCTCAATAAACAAAAGAACAAACAAAAAATAGATTTCATGCACAGATGCTTCCCAATGGATCATTCATTTATAGATCCACTTGTGCATTCATTTTCTGCCCTCCCATTTAACCATCTGCAATATCAGTGTCCCAAGGGCAGAGGCCAAATGCATCTTGTTCACTGTTTGTGGAAGGCAGGAGAATGCTGTCCCACCCCAAAATGTCCCTGTCCTAGCCTCCATACCTTGTGAATATGTTATTTTACATGGAAAGGAGGAATGAAGATTGTAGATGGAATTACGGTTGCTAATCAGCTGAACTTAAAACAAGGGTATCCTGGATGATTTCCAGGAGATTATGAGGGATTTTCATCTTGGTGAACCCAATAGAATCCCCAAGTTTTCAAAAGATAAGGAAGAAGGGAGAGCAGCATTCAGAGAAAGAGGTGTGGTAAGGAAGAAGGCACTGAGTGATGCCATGTGAGATGTGACCAGTCTTTGTGGGTTTTGAGGAAGGAGGAAGGGGACCAGGAGCCAAGGAACTGGGAGCCTTTAGAAGCTGGGACAAGTGAGAAGCAGATTCTTGCCTGGAATCCTCAGAGGGAAGGCAGCCTTGCTGTCACCTTGATTTTAGCCCAGTAAGATGCACTTCCTACTTTGAGCTACAGCACTGTAAGATAATTAAAAAACCGTTTTGTTTTCACCCACGAATCTTGTGGAAATTTGTTATGGCAACAATAGGAAAAGGTTCCGCACTGCACAGCCTGAGCATGGGGCCGTGGCTGAATGAGTCAGTGAGTCGAAGTGTGCGTGCATGAGCTCCGTTCTCTGTTACGGCAAGGCTGTTGCTCTGCTGAGTCAGCCAGGGTTGCTTCATGACCAACAGTAATTCATTCCTTGGCAAGTGGAACTTCTCTAAAACACCTCGCCCTCATCAGATGTTCCCTTCCCTTCCCTCTCTCAAGCCCCCAGGAATTTATCCTCCAGTTAGGAATGCAGGCAGAACAAACATTGCATTTTTCCTGAGAAGGATGTCAGATTGGCAATCATTCTTCTAGCTTGTAGGAGGTCTCAGCTCCATAAAATGAGAGATTAAGAGATTTCACTGAGCCCTAGGTTGGGCCCAGATCCCTTTCGCTGTTGGAGTATCTGGAGTTCGGAGATGGTAGAAGACAGGCGTACAATGTCAGAGCTGCGAGATGCTGAGTCAATGCCTGCATCGAAGGTTTCTACCTCCCCAGGTTTCCAAAAGCGGATATAAGAGGGTTCTGTACTCACCGGTTTTAGAGCTTGGTTCAGTGGGTGAAGGCCAACTATTTGAAGGGTTTCCTAGAACATGAGACAGGAGAGAGGTGAGGAAATGAGGGTGTCTGTCCTCTACTCAATGGAAATCTTTGAGGTTGGTTCATGGCCAACACTCTGTTATCTAATATTGGGCCCTGGGAGTCCTGGGATCCTTTTTTCCATAATTTTTGTATGTGACGCCCATTGTCTTGAGACTTCAAGGTATAAAGAGAAAACAGGAGCATCACACTACCTGATCTCAAAATATGTTACAGAGCTGTAGTAAGCAAGACAGCATGATGTTGGCATGAAGAAAGGCACATAGAACAATGGAGCAGAATGAACAACACAAATATAATCCATGCATTTACATCCAATGTTTTTTTCTTTTTTCTTTTGAGATGGAGTCTCGCTCTGTCACCCAGGCTGGAGTGCAGAGGTGCAATCTCGGTTCACTGCCACCACAGCCTCCTGGGTTCAATCAATTCTCTGGCCTCAAACTCCTGAGTAGTGGTATTATAGGTGCTGACCACCATGCTCAGCTAATTTATATATTTTTAGTGGAGACAATGTTTCATCACGTCGGCCAGACTAATCTTGAACTCCTGGCCTCAGGTGATCCACCCGCCTTGGGCTCCCAAAGTGCTGAAATTGCAGGTGTCAGTCACCATGCCCAGCCCATCCAATGGACTTTGACAAAGGTGCCAAGAACTCACAATCAGGAAAGGACAGTCTTTTCAATAAACAGTGCAGGGAAACCTGGACATCTACATGCAGAGGAATGAAACTGCACCTCTACCTGTCACCATACACAAAAATCAAATGAAAATGGATTAAAGATGTGAGTCTAAGGCCTGAACCTATGAAACACGTAGAAGAAAATATTGGGGAAATGCTCCAGGACATTTGTCTGAAGGAAGACATTTTGTTTTAAACCTTCAAAACACAAGTAATCGAAGCAAAAATAGACCATTGGGATTACCTCAAGCTAAGCAACTTCTGCACCGCTAAAAATAAACCAACAAAGTGAAGAGACAACCCACAGATTGGGAGCAAATATGTGCAAACTATGCATCTGAGATGGGATTAATAACTAGAAATATAAGAAGCTCAAACAACTCAATAAAACAAATGATTTAATTGAAACAGGAGCAAAAGACATGAAATTTCCCCACATACGAAAAACTGCTCAGTATCACTCATCATCAGAGAAACGCAAATTAAAATCAAAGTGAGTTTTCATCTCACCCCATTAAAATGGCTTTTAGGCCGGGCGTGGTGGCTCACGTCTGTCATCCTAGATCTTTGAGAGCCTGAGGTGGGTGAATCTCATAAGGTCGGGAGTTTGAGACCAGTCTGACCCACATGGAGAAACACTGTCTCTACTAAAAATACAAAAATTAGTCGGGCGTGGTGGCGTGTGCCTGTAATTCCAGCTACTCGGGAGGCTGAGGCAGGAGAATCGCTTGAACCTGGGAGGTGGAGGTTGTGGTGAGCCGAGATCGCACCACTGCACTCCAGCCTGGGTGAGAAGAGCGAAACTCCATCTCAAAATAAAATGAAATAAAGTAAAATGGCTTTTAGCTGCAAGACAGGCAAAGGAAATCCTGCCAAAGTGGTAGAGAAAGGAGAACCCTAATACCCTGTTGGTAGGAGTGTAAATTAGTACAGCCTTTACGGAGAAAAGTGTGGAAGTCCTTTAAAGAACTAAAAAGAGGTTGGGTGAGGTGGATCATGCCTGTAATCCCGGCACTTTGGGAGACCGAGGCGGACACCTCAGTTGAGGTCATGAGTTTGAGAGCAGCCCAGCCAACATGGGGAAACCCCATCTATACTAAAAAAACCAAAAAGTAGCCAGGCATGGTGGCGTGCACCTGTAATCCCAGCTACTAGGGAGGCTGAGGTAGGAAAATCATTTGAACCCAGGAGGCAGAGGTTGCAATGAGCCAAGATGACATCACTTGTACTCCAGCCTGGGCACAGAGGGAAACTGTCTCAAAAACAAAAACAAAACAACAAACGAATAACTAAAAAGAGAACTTTCATAGTATCCAGCAATTTCACTACTGGGTTTATATCCAAAGGAAAGTAAATCAATATATCGAAGTGATATCTGCACTCGTATGATTGGTGCAGCACTGTTCACAGTAGCCAAGATGTGGAGTCAACCTACCTGCCCATCAGTGGATGAATGGATAGAGAGAATGTAGTACATACGCACAGTGGAGACTACTCATCCATAGAAAGAATAACATCCTGATATTTGCAGCCACATGGATGGAACTGGAAGTCATTACAAAGATTCCCATTTCTCACCCATATACAGAGCTAAAAGGTGGATCTCATGAAGGTAGAGAGTAGAATGGTGGCTTCCAGAGGCCAGGAAGAAAAGGGTGGAGGGTAAAAAAAAAAAAAAATATATATATATATATATATATATATATATATATATATATATATATACACATATATATATGTATATATATGTGTGTGTATATATATATACATACATATATATATATATATATATTTATAAATGTATTTATGACCACTAGACTTTACACTTAAAAATGGTAAATGTGGCTGGGAGTGGTGGCTCATGCCTGTAATCCCAGCACTTTGGGAGGCAGATGCGGGTGGATCACGTGGTCAGGAGTTGGAGACCAGCTCGACCAACATGGTGAAACCACCTCTCTACTAAAAATACAAAAAGTAGCCTGGCGTGGTGGTGCGCGCCTGTAGCACCAGCTACTCAGGTGGCTGAGGCAGGAGAATCACTTGAACCCAGGAGGCGGAAGTTGCAGTGAGCTGAGATTGTGCCACTGCACTGCAGCATAGGGGACAGAGCTAGACTCTGCCTCAAAAAAAAAAAAAATGTTAAAGGTGGTAAGCTATATAGGTATATTTATCCTCAATAAATATTTCTTCAAACAAAAGTAAAGGGTGTAGGGGTTGCTGGTGATGACATCCCTGTGTGGGTGAGAGGCCAGGATGGGCTTCTGGGAAATGGGTAATGTTGAGGGGCTGAGGGAACCTCTGATCTTCCCAAACTGAGCCCAGTCTCCCTCCTCTGGGTCTCTCCTGACCGCTTTCTCCATCTGCCTGTGTGCCTGGAGCCCTGGCCGCGGGCCTTCATGCAGGCCGTGTAGGAGGGTTTGGAGGTGCCCTGTCTGCCATCCTGTGCCCTGATCCCTCCCTCACACCCAAGCTTCGTCTTCTCTCTGCATCTGTCCATGCTTATCTCCATCATCAGCAGGAAGCTCCTCAGCTAAGGCTCTAGGATCATAGGACATGAGACAGATATGGGGTTTCCTCACCTGTGACAGAAACAAGCAGTGGGTCACTCGAGTTTGACCACTCGTATGGAGAGTCACGGAAAGAGCCGAAGCATCTGTAGGTTCCTCCGTGGGTGGCAGGGCCCAGAGGAAAGTCGGCCTGGAATGTTCCGTTGACCTTGGGCCCTGCAGAGAACCTACATTCATGGGCCTCCCCCTCCCTGGATAGATGGTACATGTCATAGGAGCTCCGGGAGCTGCAGGACAAGGTCACGCTCTCTCCTGCCAGAACCGTGGGGCCCGGCTGGGCTGAGAGAGAAGGTTTCTCATATAGACCTGGAAGGAGAAGAGGCATTTTCCTCAGGGAGGATCTTCCTTGTCACAGCTCCCTTCACCTGAGCTGAGAACTCACTCCCCTGCTCTATGACCTAATGCTCTCTCTCTCTCTCTCTCACCCTCCACCCCATCTCTCTTCATGTCTATTTCCTTCTTCCACCTTCTCTGTCTCTCTAGGTCTCTGACCTCGCTTCCCCACCTCTAGATATGTTTTCCGTTTTTGGATTGTTTTATTCTCTCTGACTCTCCTTGGATTGGTTGACTTGATGTTACTTTTTTAAATTCTAAGTTTCTCACGTTGTGTCCTGTTCATAACTTTCTGCATATTTCTATCTATTATCTGTCGATCTATCTATTTATCTATTCGGTGCCTATCTACAAATTCTCTACCTGTCATCTATATCTATATATCATCTATGTATCTATCAGTTGTCTATCTATCCATCAATCATCTGTTATTTATATGTATGTATCATCTCTCTCTCTATGATTTCTGTCTGCCTCTCTATCTGTACGTATTATCTGTCTTCATCATCATCATCTCTATGTATTATCTATTAATGAATCAATCAATCATCATCTATGTATCTTTAACCTATTATCTATCATCTACCTATTTATCATCTATCTATATCTATCCATCTATCATCTGTATTGCTCTGCCTCTCGGTCTCTCTAGCTCTCTTTGGAATCTCTGCAATTCATCCCCACATCTCCATGTTTCTATGTCCTTGTGCCTCTCTCTCAGGACTCTAATTTTAGTGCTTTTCTCTGCTCCCTGCCATCATTCTCACCACTCCTCTGCCCTCTTTTCTCTCTCTTTATGTGTCTGTGAGTCTCTCAATCTCCTTCCTCTGGCTCATTCTCCGTGTGTTTATGTCTTTGCTTTTTGGTGTTCCTGATTTTTCTCTGTGCCTCTCAGTGATCCTTTCATATGTGGGGTTATTTGGAATGTGAGCCTCAGAATCCAGTCTGGAGACCACAAGTTCACACAGCATACAGGGGTTGGTGTTCTGGGGCCATGATATCCTGGGACGGTTACTCTCCATTACATGGAAGGCAGAGGTGTCAGAATAAACATGGCCTGTAGGTGCCACAAGGCCTGAGGCCACAGGGCCCAACTCAGGTCAGAAATATGGGTGTCCTTGGGTTCTCCTGGTAGAGAACACTTTGTGGAGGTAAAACAGAAATGAAACTTCTAACCTGTGCCAGGTCTGTGAGCAAAGTCAGCATGGAGGGACACCTCTCTCTGGGACATGTCTGTCTGTCTGTCTCTTTTAACTCTTTCTGTCTTTTCTAACTCCCTGTATGGCCCCTGTGTCTGTCCTCCGTTATGACACCTGGTCTGTACTTGTGTCTCCTGTTTCTCTGTCTCTGTTGGTACAAACCTCAGCAAGTCAGTCTCTCTCCATAAGAATACCAAGCTCATCTTCCTTACAACTACCTGGGGGTTCCAAGTCGTGGATCATTCACTCTGCAGCCCAATGACAATGAGAATGTCCGGACACTCTCACCTGTGATGACGATGTCCAGAGGGTCACTGGGAGCTGACAACTGATAGGGGGAGTGAGTAACAGAACCGTAGCATCTGTAGGTCCCTGCAAGGTCTTGCATCATGGGACCGATGGAGAAGTTGGCTTTGGAGACCCCATCATGGTGCTCTCCAATGAGGTGCAAAGTGTCCTTAAACTTCCCTTCTCTGTGCAGAAGGAAGTGCTCAAACCTGACATCTGACCAACATTGCAGGATGACTGTCTCTTCTGATTTCACCAGGCGACCTGGGTGGGCCAGGAGGGAAGGTTTTCTGTGGACTCCTAGGAAGAGAGGTTGTGAGTTTAGAAGGTGTCTCTCTTTATCATCCCATCCATGGCACCTAGAATGAGTGAGGCTTCCCCTTGCTGGTGTCTGTCTCTCTCCTTCCTCTCTGTGTCTTCATGTTCTTTTCTGTGCCCTTAACTCCTGGTGCAGGTCCTTCCATCTGTCTCCCTCCCTCTTCTCTGTCCCTCTGTCTCTAGTAGCCTCTGATTCCCTTCCCACTGGGCTTAGCCTCATCTCTTGGGGTGTTGTATCTATTTCACACTAATGTCTTTCCTGCTGTTTATGTGGGGGTGAAAGAGGAACCAGGATAGGCTGCACATCCAGGCTCTTATCAGCCTGGTTCAATCTCTTTTGGATGAATTGCAATCCTTGGCAGAAGATATGAACTGATGAATAAGGCAGGCACCAGTGTCCACACACCCTGTTCCTGGTGGGGACTGGGAGCCACTCTTGCCATGCCTGTGCCTTCTCCATGGTGCCAGCTTCCATAGGCTGGCTCCTGGTGCTGGTTGGAGGAGTATCAACCCCTCCCTATGTGGATGGAGCCTGGTGGTGGCATCATCATCCCACCCTTGCTGATCTCAGGGTAGCCAACCTTCTCCTTCTTTGGTTTCTTTAATTAATTAATTAATTTTGGAGACAGAGTCTCACTCCTTCACCCAGGCTGGAGTGAAGTGGTGTGGTCTAGGCTCACTGCAACCTCTGTTTCCTGGGTTCAAGTGATTCTCCTGCCCTCAGCCTCCTGAGTCGCTAGGATTACATGCACCTGCCACCATGCCTGGCTTTCCTTGGGTTGTTTCTTAACTTGTCCTTGACCTGGGTTCCAGTGTTGGTTTCCTGTTGCTGCTGTACAAAATTATCAGAAGCATGGAAGCAGGAGAGACCACACTGACACCTTCCAGTACTGGAGACAGAAATTGGACCCTATTTTTCCTGGGCTAAAATCAAGGCATCTGCAGGGCTTTGTTCCCTCTGGAGACTCTGGAGAATCAGTTCCTTGACTTTTCCAGCCTCTATAGGCCACCTGCATTCATGGCTCTTGGCCTTCCTCCACCTTCAAAGCTGGTGAAGACTTCCACTGGACTGCTCTAATCCCCACTCCCCTCTTCCTCCTCCTTTCATGTGCACCCTTGTGATTACACTGAGCCCAGTGGGACAGTCCAGGCTGTCTCCCCATGAGCTCCATCTTCCCCTTCAGTCCCTTCCCCTATAACATACATAGTCACAGACTCCAGGGATTAGAATGTAGTCATCACTGGGGACAATTATTCTTCCCACCACAGCACCCATTTCCCTGTATTCAATCCCCCTTTACCACAAATACAGTCAGGGCCTGCGTGATGGGACCCTCAAGGACATGCCCACCAGAAGCTCTGGGATTCAGGAGGTGGGACAAGGAGAATCCAAGACAGGAGCCCTCTGACCTATGACCACGATCACCAGGGGGTTGCTGGGTGCTGACCACCCACTGGGGGAGTGTGTGTGTGAACCCCGACATCTGTATGTCCCTGTTGTGCGGGGGTCACAGGGCCCATGAAAAGGCTGTTCCAGAATATTCTGTTGTAGAGCTCAGGGACAGGCACCCCACCTTCCTTGTACAGACTGAAGTTGTTAAACCCAAGATAAGAGTGACACCGAAGAATGACATGTCCTAGAGGCACCACAAGGCTGGGCCAGGCAGACAGCAAGGGCTTGTCCTGACCACCTTGGGGAGAAGGAGGCGCCGCCTTAGAGAGGAGGATGTGGAACTGCCCCTCCCTCCCTGTGCTCAGAAGATTCTCCTCGCTTTCCACGTTTCTATGGCTACTATCACACCTTGGTGCCCAGGGCTGAAGGAAGGACCCATCCCGCAAAGACATGGTGTCTCCCTACAACAAAAGCCTCAGCTGAGAACTTTGAGCAAGTGCTGAGTAAAGAGACTCCTACTAGATTTTGATACTGTAAGATTACTCACATAAAACAACACAGGGTAGACATGAGGTGGAGGGCATGTCCTTTGTGAATGGATATCAGCGGATGCCTGAACGAAAATAAACAACTGAGCCCCCATCAGAGGATTTGGAATGTCAGGGCCATGGCTGTGGTTTCCCACCTCTTCTGGTAGAATGACAGCAGCCACACTGCAGCCCCTACCATCATGGAAACGCTGAAGTGTGTGAGTAACACCTTTGTCCTCAGAGGATCTGCTGTTCCTACCACTTCCCAACCACACACCCCAGCTTTGAGCACCCCAGTCTAACCCTGGTCCCCACAGAACTTGACTCTGCCAAGGGGTTGAGAGGCCAGGGAGGCGAGGTCAGAAATGTGGGCTGAGCACCCCAGGGTCCTCTCTTCCTAGTTTATGAGAGACTCCCCGACAGGACTTCCCTCCTGTTTCAGGAAAATCCTCTTATGTGGGGAGATGACACCCGAAGGTTTGGAGAAGGACTCACCCTCATGTGGCCAGGCCCCCTGCAGCAAGAAGAACCCTGGAAAGAAAGATCATGATGGACGATCCATCTGCAGGCGAACCAGCCCTCCCTTGCTGCCCCCACTGGGCTGTGAGTCTTGGCAGCCAGGCCCTTCCTGGGCTGAAGTTAAACTCACCCTCAGTGCCTACCTGCACCCAAGAACAGGGCTGTCGGCTGTGCAGAGACCCAGTTTCCAGGCCCATATCCCCACCCCAAGCCCATATCTCCACTCCAGGCTGATATTTCCACCCTAGGCCCATATCGCCAATCCAGGCTCAGATCTCCACCCTAGGCCCCTATCTCCAATCCAGTCCCATATCTCCGCCCCAGGCCCAGAACTCCACCCTAAGCCCATATCTCCACTCCAGGCCCATATCACCTCTCCAGTCCCATATCTCCACACCCAGGCCCATATCTCCTTCCTAGGCCCATATCTCCACTCCAGGCCCAGATATCCACCTCTAGGCCCATAACTCCACTCCTGGCCCATATCTCCACTCCAGGCCCATATCTCTACTGCAGGCCCGTATCTCCACCTCCAGACCCATATCTCCACTCCAGGCCCATATCTCCACCTCCAGGCCCATATCTCCACCTCCAGGCCCATATCTCCACTTCAGGCCCATATCTCCACTCCAGGCCCATATCTCCACTCCAGGCCCCTATCTCTACTGCAGGCCCATATCTCCATCTCCAGGCCCATATCTCCATCTCCAGGCCCATGTCTCCACTACAAGCCCATATCTCTACTGCAGGCCCATATCTCAACCTCCAGGCCCATATCTCCACTCCAGGCCCAGATCTCCACTTCTAGGCCCATCACTCCATCTCTAGGCCCATAACTCCACTTCCAGGCCTATATCTCCAACTCTGGGCCCCGATCTCCATCCCCGCACTCCCTCCCTCGATTCCCTTCCAGGACTCACCAACACACGCCATGCTGACGACCATGAGCGACATGGTGCTGTCTGTGCAGACAGGCGGCCGCGCCCCAGCTCAGCTCAGCAGCGCACAGGATGTTATTTGGCGCCCTGCCCATGCAGTTTACATGTTGACCACATCATGGGAGGGTGACGTACGCAGGCTCTTTCTACCTTGCATGAGGCCCAGTGGGTGCTCGCTCAAGAGCGGAACATGGCTTCCTGGAAATTGTTCTCACTAGAATTGACACCTTGCGTCCTTCACTACGACCAGACTCAAAAGACGTCTCAGATCCAACCTCTCATACACGAGATGATTGAATTCTGTGCTTACATTAAAGATTTTTGATGTATTTTTGTTTTTATCTGAGATTCAAACTCTTCTTCATATGTAATGTGCAAAATGTCTAACAGGTATTATTAACATTATCAGAGTAATTGTGACAAGAAGCCATTCTAATTTTCCTGCTTGAGTTTCTAGTACTAAACCAGAGGCATCAGAATAGCTTGAACCTGGGAGGCGGAGGTTGCAGTGAGCTGAGCTCAAGCCACTGAACTCCAGCTTGGGTGACAGAGGAAGAGTCTGTCTCAAGAAAAAAAAAAAAGCAAACTAAATAACCTATAATAACAAATCAGAGGACTCAGGTTACCAAATTTTAAGGGGTTCTATAAGTTTATATAAAATGCAGCATCCTCATGAGAGGGGATACAGAGAACCACTGGACAGAAAACTGTGTCTAAAATACATCTGTGGATACACAGTCCCTTTATAGTTGACAAAGGCTGCCATGTAGTTTAAGGTGGAATAGAATATTTTCTCAACAAATAACACAGGACCATAGGGTTACACGTAGGAAAAAATAAATCTAAACTTATCCTCACACTATAAAAACACTTCTTATTTTTTATCTTGTTGTTGTAAATTTTTTATGCTTTATTTTTAAGATTGACAAATAAAAATTATATACCATGGTCCTTCACTATACCTGGGTGATTGGTTCCAGGATCCCCATTCAGATACCAAAATCTGCAGATGCTCAAGCCCCTTGCATGAAATGGCATAGTGAAGCTGGGCACCGTGGCTCACGCCCGTAATCCCAGCACTTTGGGAGGCTGAGCTGGGTAGATCACAAGGTCAGGAGTTCAAGACCAGCTGGTCCAACATTCTGAAACCCCGTCTCTACTAAAAATACACACACAAAAAAATTTATCTGTGCATGGTGGCACGTGCCTGTAATCCTAGGGGAGGCTACTGGGGAGGCTGAGGGAAGACAATCGCTTGAACCTGGGAGGCGGAGGTTGCAGTGAGTTGAGATCACGCCACTGCACTCCAGCCTGGGTGAGAGAGTGAGACTGTCTCAAAAAAAAAAAATAGCATAGCAATTGCATAGAACCCATGCACATCCTCCTGTATACATGAAATCATCTCTTGATTACTTATAATTCCTGACACAGCCTACACGCCACTCAATTTGTGTCGATTCAACATAGTTTTTTGCTTCTTGAAACTTCGGGGATTTTTTTCTCAAAATATTTTTGATTTATTGTTGGTTCAATAAACACCTGTAAACCCCACAGATATGGAGGACCGACTGTATATTTATATTATGAAAGATGATATGTTGATATGTGTCCCCGTGGAGATGAGACTAACAAGGCCTATGACTCTACAAATGTTTCATCGTGGAATGACTCTGCCAGCTTTCCAGGTCTGCAGAGAGTAAGAATATCACTTGTTCATGTGATTCACGATCCTTGGAGCCTCCTATGTGCTGTATCTTTGGATGGAAATTGGAGTCTCAGAGACAATTCAGGCTCCATTCTGCTTCCAGAAGCTCAGAGTCCAGGGCTGAGAACCCAATGGAGAACAGATGGGGTTATGTGGACATGGTAATGATAACACCGGAAGCCTTAGGCAAGAGAAGAGTCTCGTTACCGAAACCATGAGGGCAGACATGTTTATTTGAAGGCGGGAAAACTACATTGAAATTATTTAAAAAATTTATAAGTTTTACTGCTGGCAGAAGGCTGAAAGATAGTCTGAAGGGAGGTGGAACAGCACGTGTCTAAGTGCTGTGTTAAGAGGGAGCCTCTTGTATGTTTGGAATTGTGAGTTCCTCAGTGTGATTGCAGCCTCAGGTAGACTAGGAAGTAAGCTAGTTAGGTTGGAGAGGTGGGCAGGGGTCAAGTGAAATGGAGAATTGTGGGCTAAGCAAAGGAGTGTGTTTTCTCTCCAGCAGGCAGTGGGGACCTTAGACATTTGTAAGCAAGAGAGAGGCATGTTCAGATTCGTGGTGTGAGGAAGAGCGATGCCCTAAGATGAAGACTGATGCCTTCAGATTCCAGCTGCTGGTACATGGGAGCTGGCAACCCGGTTTTGAGACAGGGCTGTTGTCTCCCTAGAAGATCCCCTCAAGGCCTGACTGTGGTGCTCGTGGACAGAAGACAACTTTGGATCTGGGCTCAGCATTTGGAAGTTCTATGTACATGCTGGTATCTGTTGGGGGTGTCTTGGGCCTCTCAGAAGGGCGAGTGATTTCTCTCTGTGTGAAAACACAGTGATCCAATTATGCGTATGACACCTCCTGATGGTCTTGTTCATCAGAATCCTGGAGAGAGGGAAATGCTGAGTGAGGGAGGGTGCTCACATTTTTCAGGACTCTTTGGGAATAAGACTAGCCACGAGGCTGGGCCGAGGAGCACCTACCTCGCTGTTCACTGTTCTGTTCCCTGCAGGCTCTTGGTCCATTACAGCAGCATCTGTAGAAGACGGAAGTCAACAAAAGAGCTCGGAGGGCACTTCTGGGTCCTCATTTCATAAGCAGATACCAACAAACAGGGGGAGGCCATAGGTGCCTGAGGTCCCTCAGTTGCCAACAGCAGACTCAGACATTCTATCTCTCTGAGTTCAAGGACCCATCCCATGAATAGCTCTGAGTTCCCATCCCATTGATTCTATCTCCCACTTTCTGCCTGTCATGGAACCTTCTCCTGGATGTGAGTGGCTGCAGGGGACGTGAGGGTACAGTTCAGAATCAGGCAACGGTCTGTGAGCTGAAGGCAGGGGAAGGGAATCTGGTGCTCTCTCTAGAAAGTCCTGCCTCTGTGGCTCCTGTCTTGGGCCAGGGACCATCCTGCTGGTGAGGAACACACACCTGAGTGCTCCCATCCTGCTTCCCCACATGGCCCTGAGCTCTCTGGCCTCTGCTTCGTGAGACTTACTTTTTTTGTTGGAGCACCAGCGATGAAGGAGAAAGAAGAGGAGGATGGTGAAAGGGATTTTGACCACTGAGGTCCCAATCAGAACATGCAGGTGTCTGGGGTTACCTGGAAGAAGAGGAGACACCAATAAGAAGCTAATCATAGCAGTTCCTCTTTATGAATTGTCTCGCATTTCTTGATTGGCAGGTAACCACATACAACGTCTCTTTAGGACAAGCACCCAAATGGCGGGAGACCTAGCTTTCCCCTGCTTTCTCAATTATAGCTCTCATAGTAACCATAGAACGTGCTGAGGATACAACTACTTTAGTTGAGATGTTTGACCCCTTCAAACCTCACATTGAAATTTCACCCCCATTGTGGGAGGTTGGGCCTCTTCAGAGGTGTTTGGGTCATGGAGGTGGATCCATCATGAACAGATCAATGCTGTCCCAAGGAGACGGGGTTAGCAAGTTCCCCCTCTGTTAGTTCCTGGACAGCTGGTTGTTAAAAAGAGCTTGGAAGCTCCATTGCTCCCTCTCCCCCTTACTCTCTCTCTTGCCGTGTGATCTCTGTGGTCTCTGCACAGACAGACCCTCCTTCCCTTCTGCCAGAGTGGGAGCAGCCTGAGGCCATCACGAGAAATAGATTCTGGTGCCATGCTTCCAGTACAGCCTGCAGAACTGTGAGGCAAACCGATCTCTTTTCTTTAGAAGTTACCGAGGCTCAAGTGTTCCTTCAGAGCAACAAAAAAAAAAACTAAGACAGCAACGACCTGAGATCAGGAGGAATGTCTCAGAACAGCCTGGGCTGTCTTCCTGTTCTTCCTGGAGGAAGGCGTCATGCAGTGCTTTAGCTGAGTGCTTCCTGTGGCTCCAGGGTACAAAACCCAGGCTGGGCTGCTTTCTGGCTTCCCCCAGCTACACTGCAAATGGGGTGACTCCATATGTCCCGAGCAGCTTTTCTGAGCCTTGAGGGACTGGCTCACATTGAAATGTAGGCTTCTGTTGTCACTCGCTGCTTATCTGTTAGTAATGAACCTGCCTGTGTAATGTATTCTCTGTGTGTTCTGTCTCCCTGGAGTGACGGTGAGTGATAGGAATTGGCATAGGCCCAGGTGCAGTCCAGGAGGTGTTTAGAGTCTTCTCTGGGAAGACTGCACTGGGATTGATACACAGCGACTGTGCTTTAGGATTTCTACATCCACGGCATTCTTGAGTCAAACAACTTGCATTCTCCAAGAAAAGGAAACAAAAGTGAAATCAAGATAAAAAAAGCGAAGTAGAATTCTCTTATGTCAAATGGCCAGGAAACAGTGTTGAAGCCCATGTGAAACGTGCTACTCTTTGTGATCTCAGGAGACACATGTTAGGTTGCTGTTCTACCCGAGAGGCTGGGGGAAGGACCACCCCCTCGGCCATCTATTGCTTCAATACCACCTGTCCTCCTGTGAATTAGTAGGAAAGGGGAGCAGGAGCTACTGCTGACGCTAATCTCTGATTCCAAGATCTGGACTCACTCCAAGGAGTATTAGAATTTACCTCCCCATGGCCTATCTGAATCTCCACAGATGATTGGAAGTAGGGGTGAGGTGGGGGATTTGGGTGAGAGGGCATGTTTTCTTGTGATGAACAGAGCACTTTGTGTATTCCAGGATCTGTGCTGGAGGATTCAGCGGGCTTTCACATTTTCTATATGATCTCATGCTCACAGAAAGCCAAATAGGGAAGAGGTTTTAGGCTCATTGCCTAATGGATAAGATAAAGGATCAAAGAAGTAATTATAGAGAAATAGAAAAATCATGATTGGAATTCAGGTCCCTTTCTCATTTGCATGTGTTATATTATATTTATATTTATGCATTTCTTATTTTTATTTTTTGAGACGGAGTCTCCTTGTGTCACCCAGGCTGGAGTGCAGTGATGCAATCTCCACTCACTGCAACCTCCACCTCCTGGGTTGAAGTCATTCTCCTGCTTCATCCTCCAGAGTAGGAGCTGGGATTACAGGGATGCACCACCATGCTCGGCTAATTTTTGTGTTTTTCCTAGAGACAGGGTTTCACCATGTTGGCCAGGCTGGTCTCGAACTGCTGACTTCATGTGATCCACCCGCCTTGGCCTCCTGCAGTGCTGGGTTACAGGCGTGAGCCACCGTTCACAGACTTGTATATTATGCTATAATAGGTCCCTTCATTTCCACCACCCCTCATATATCTGTCACTCCTTTGCCAGGTATTGATTTATGTGTAGTAGGAATAAAGCTCAGAAAGAAATTAAGCGAGGATTAGACAACTAGGAAAATCATACCCAGCAAGCCTTTCCAGCCAATGATTCCACCTCACAAGCATAGCTTATATCCATCTGCTTCACCCAGTTAGGGTCTAAATCAGCACCACATTTCACCAGTGGGGCGGGAATTGCCTTTTCCACAGTCTCCTAGATTCCAGTTACGCACCTGGGCCTCCCTTATTTTCATGTCAGTCACTATTAATCATGTAGGGATTCCTGGCTACCCCGAGGTGAATCCAATGGCTGTGAGTGTCAAACACACACTCCTTGTTGCTCCTTAGTTTCCTGTGTACCCAGTGTGCTCTCCGTCTCTCCACAGTCGTCTTGTCATTCTCCCCACCTCATTCCCAGCATTTGAGGCAGAGCCTCTTCCTTCCACATCAGATTGTTTTCAGCTTTCTGCCTTCACGGCTGACAGCTGTGTGTGGAAAATCCTTCCGCCAATCTTTCAGGGGTTCAATCCGTGTTTTTCATTAATGTCACAAATATCTGATTAGTGAGATCTTCTCTGTCACCCAAAATCATACACTCAGCATTATGTATTATTTATTTTAAATTCTGGCTGGGCACAGTGGCTCACGCCAGTTATCCCAGTACTTTAGGATGCTGAGACGGTCGGATCACTTGAGGTTGGGAGTTTCAGAGAAGCTTGGCGAAGATGGTGAAACATCCTCTACAAAAAATATACAAAAAGAATTAGCCGGGCATGGTGGCAGTTGCCTGTAATCCCAGCTACTTGAGAGGCTGACGCAGGAGAATCACTTGGATCCAGAAGGTGCAGGTTGCAGTGAGCCAAGATGGTGACACTGCACTGTAGCCTGGAAGACAGAGGGAGACTCTGTCTCAATAAACAAATGAAGAAACAAACAAATAGATTTCATACACAGATGCTTCCCAATGGATCATTCATTTATTGGTCCACTTGTGCATTCATTTTCTGCCCTCCCATTTAACCATCTGCAATATCAGTGTCCAAAGAGCAGAGGCCAAATGCATCTTGTTCACTGTTTGTGGAAGGCAGGAGAATGCTGTCCCACCCCAAAATGTCCCTGTCCTAGCCTCCATAGCTTGTGAATATCTTATTTTACATGGAAAGGAGGAATGAAGATTGCAGATGGAATTATGGTTGCTAATCAGCTGAACTTAAAACAAGGGTATCCTGAATGATTTCCGGGAGATTATGATGGATTTTCATCTTGGTGAACCCAATAGAATCCCCAAGTTTTCAAAAGATGAGGAAGAAGGGAGAGCAGCATTCAGAGAAAGAGGTGTGGTAAGGAAGAAGGGTCTGAGTGATGCCATGTGAGATGTGACCAGTCTTTGTGGGCTTTGAGGAAGGAGGAAGGGGACCAGGAGCGAAGGAATGTGGGAGCCTCTAGAAGCTGAGAAAAGTGAGAAGCAGATTCTTGCCTGGAATCCTCAGAGGGAAGGCAGCCTTGCTGTCACCTTGATTTTAGCCCAGTGAGATGCACTTCATACTTTGAGCTACAGCACTGTAAGATAATTAAAAAACCGTTTTGTTTTCACCCACGAATCTTGTGGAAATTTGTTATGGCAACAATAGGAAAAGCTTCCACAGTGCACAGCCTGAGCATGGGGCCGTGGCTGAATGAGTCAGTGAGTCGAAGTGTGCGTGCATGAGCTCTGTTCTCTGTTACAGCAAGGCTCTTTCTCTGCTGAGTCAGCCAGGGTTGCTTCATGACCTATAGGAGCTCATTCCTTGGCAAGTGGAACTTCTCTAAAACACCTCGCCCTCATCAGATGTTCCCTTCCCTTCCCTCTCTCAAGTCTCCAGGAATTTATCCTCCAGTTAGGAATGCAGGCAGAACAAACATTGCATTTTTCCTGAGAAGGATGTCAGATTGGCAATCATTCTTCTAGCTTGTAGGAAGTCTCAGCTCCATAAAATGAGAGATGAAGAGATTTCACTGAGCCCTGTGTTGGACCCAGATCCCTTTCGCTGTAGGAGTATCTGGAGTTCGGAGATGGTGGAAGACAGGGGTACAATGTCAGAGCTGTGAGATGCTGAGTCAACGCCTGAATCCAAGGTTTCCACCTCCCCAGGTTTCCAAAAGCGGATATAAGAGGGTTCTGTACTCACCGGTTTTGGAGCTTGGTTCAGTGGGTGAAGGCCAACTATTTGAAGGGTTTCCTAGAACATGAGACAGGAGAGAGGTGAGGAAATGAGGGTGTCTGTCCTCTACTCAGTGGAAATCTTTGAGGATGGTTCATGGCCAACACTCTGTTATCTAATATTGGGCCCTGGGAGTCCTGGGATCCTTTTTTCCATAATTTTTTTATGTGACGCCCACTGTCTTGAGACTTCAAGGTATAAAGAGAAAACAGGAGCATCACACTACCTGATCTCAAAATATGTTACAGAGCTGTAGTAAGCAAAACAGCATGACATTGGCATAAAGAAAGGGACATAGAACAACGGAGCAGAATGAATAACACAGATATATTCCATGCATTTACATCCAATGGTTTTTTATTTTTTCTTTTGAGATGGAGTCTTGCTCTGTCACTCAGGCTGGAGTGCAGAGGTGCAATCTCAGTTCACTGCAACCTCAGCCTCCTGGGTTCAATCATTCTCTTGCCTCAAACTCCTGAGTAGTGGTATTACAGGTGCTGACCACCATGCTCAGCTAATTTTTATATTTTTAGTGGAGACGATGTTTCATCACGTCGTCCAGACTGATCTTGAACTCCTGGCCTCAGGTAATCCACCCGCCTCGGCCTCCCAAAGTGCTGAAATTGCAGGTGTCAGCCACCAAGCCCAGCCCATCCAATGGACTTTGACAAAGGTGCCAAGAACTCACAATCAGGAAAGGACAGTCTTTTCAATAAACAGTGCAGGGAAACCTGGACATCGACATGCAGAGGAATGAAACTGCACCTCTACCTGTCACCATACACAAAAATCAAATGAAAATGGATTAAAGATGTGAGTCTAAGGCCTGAACCTATGAAACACGTAGAACAAAATATTGGGGAAATGCTCCAGGACATTTGTCTGAAGAAAGACATTTTGTTTTAAACCTTGAAAACACAAGTAATCGAAGCAAAAATAGACCATTGGGATTACCTCAAACTAAGCAACTTCTGCACTGCTAAAAATAAACCAACAAAGTGAAGAGACAACCCACAGATTGGGAGCAAATATGTGCAAACTATGCATCTGAGATGGGATTAATAACTAGAAATATAAGAAGCTCAAACAACTCAATAAAACAAATGATTTAATTGAAAAAGGAGCAGAAGACATGAAATTTCCCCACATACTAAAAAGTGCTCAGTATCACTCATCATCAGAGAAACGCAAATTAAAATCAAAGTGAGTTTTCATCTCACCCCATTAAAATGGCTTTTAGGCCGGGCGTGGTGGCTCACGTCTGTCATCCTAGAACTTTGAGAGCCTGAGGTGGGTGAATCTCATAAGGTCAGGAGTTTGAGACCAGTCTGACCCACATAGAGAAACACTGTCTCTACTAAAAATACAAAAATTAGTCGGGCGTGGTGGAGTGTGCCTGTAATTCCAGCTACTCGGGAGGCTGAGGCAGGAGAATCGCTTGAACCTGGGAGGTGGAGGTTGTGGTGAGCCGAGATAGCGCCACTGCACTCCTGCCTGGGTGAGAAGAGCAAAACTCCATCTCAAAATAAAATGAAATAAAATAAAATGGCTTTTAGCTGCAAGACAGGCAAAAGAAATGCTGGCAAGGTGGTAGAGAAAGGAGAACCCTGGTACCCTGTTGGGAGGAGTGTAAATTAGTACAGCGATTACGGAGAAAAGTATGGAAGTCCTTTAAAGAACTAAAAAGAGGTTGGGTGTGGTGGATCAGGCCTGTAATCCCGGCACTTTGGGAGACTGAGGCGGGCATCTCAGTTGAGGTCATGAGTTTGAGAGCAGCCCAGCCAACATGGGGAAACCCCATCTATACTAAAAAAAACAAAAAGTAGCCAGGCATGGTGGCGTGCACCTGTAATCCCAGCTACTAGGGAGGCTGAGGCAGGAAAATCATTTGAACCCAGGAGGCAGAGGTTGCAATGAGCCAAGATGACATCACTTGTACTCCAGCCTGGGCACAGAGGGAAACTGTCTCAAAAACAAAAACAAAACAACAAACGAAAAACTAAAAAGAGAACTTTCATAGTATCCAGCAATTTCACTACTGGGTTTATATCCAAAGGAAAGTAAATCAATATATCGAAGTGATATCTGCACTCGTATGATTGGTGCAGCACTGTTCACAGTAGCCAAGATGTGGAGTCAACCTACCTGCCCATCAGTGGATGAATGGATAGAGAGAATGTAGTACATACGCACAGTGGAGACTACTCATCCATAGAAAGAATAACATCCTGATATTTGCAGCCACATGGATGGAACTGGAAGTCATTACAAAGATTCCCATTTCTCACCCATATACAGAGCTAAAAGGTGGATCTCATGAAGGTAGAGAGTAGAATGATGGCTTCCAGAGGCCAGGAAGAAAAGGGTGGAGGGTAAAAAAAAAAAAAAAAAATATATATATATAAATGTATTTATGACCACTAGACTTTACACTTAAAAATGGTAAATGTGGCTGGGCGTGGTGGCTCATGCCTGTAATCCCAGCACTTTGGGAGGCACATGCGGGTGGATCACGTGGTCAGGAGTTGGAGACCAGCTCGACCAACATGGTGAAACCACCTCTCTACTAAAAATACAAAAAGTAGCCTGGCGTGGTGGTGCGCGCCTGTAGCACCAGCTACTCAGGTGGCTGAGGCAAGAGAATCGCTTGAACCCAGGAGGCGGAAATTGCAGTGAGCTGAGATTGTGCCACTGCACTCCAGCATAGGGGACAGAGCTAGACTCTGCCTCAAAAAAAAAAAAAATGTTAAAGGTGGTAAGCTATATAGGTATATTTATCCTCAATAAATATTTCTTCAAACAAAAGTAAAGGGTGTAGGGGTTGCTGGTGATGACATCCCTGTGTGGGTGAGAGGCCAGGATGGGCTTCTGGGAAATGGATAATGTTGAGGGGCTGAGGGAACCTCTGATCTTCCCAAACTGAGCCCAGTCTCTCTCCTCTGGGTCTCTCCTGACCGTTTTCTCCATCTGCCTGTGTGCCTGGAGCCCTGGCCGCGGGCCTTCATGCAGGCCGTGTAGGAGGGTTTGGAGGTGCCCTGTCTGCCATCCTGTGCCCTGATCCCTCCCTCACACCCAAGCTTCGTCTTCTCTCTGCATCTGTCCATGCTTCTCTCCATCATCAGCAGGAAGCTCCTCAGCTAAGGCTCTAGGATCATAGGACATGAGACAGATATGGGGTTTCCTCACCTGTGACAGAAACAAGCAGTGGGTCACTCGAGTTTGACCACTCATAGGGAGAGTCACGGAAAGAGCCGAAGCATCTGTAGGTTCCTCCGTGGGTGGCAGGGCCCAGAGGAAAGTCGGCCTGGAATGTTCCGTTGACCTTGGGCCCTGCAGAGAACCTACGTTCATGGGCCTCCCCCTCCCTGGATAGATGGTACATGTCATAGGAGCTCCGGGAGCTGCAGGACAAGGTCACGCTCTCTCCTGCCAAAACCGTGGGGCCCGGCTGGGCTGAGAGAGAAGGTTTCTCATATAGACCTGGAAGGAGAAGAGGCATTTTCCTCAGGGAGGATCTTCCTTGTCACAGCTCCCTTCACCTGAGCTGAGAACTCACTCCCCTGCTCTATGACCTAATGCTCTCTCTCTCTCTCTCTCACCCTCCACCCCATCTCTCTTCATGTCTATTTCCTCCTTCCACCTTCTCTGTCTCTCTAGGTCTCTGACCTCGCTTCCCCACCTCTAGATATGTTTTCCCTTTTTGGATTCTTTTATTCTCTCTGACTCTCCTTGGATTGGTTGACTTGATGTTACTTTTTTAAATTCTAAGTTTCTCACGTTGTGTCCTGTTCATAACTTTCTGCATATTTCTATCTATTATCTGTCGATCTATCTATTTATCTATTCGGTGCCTATCTACAAATTCTCTACCTGTCATCTATATCTATATATCATCTATGTATCTATCAGTTGTCTATCTATCCATCAATCATCTGTTATTTATATGTATGTATCATCTCTCTCTCTATGATTTCTGTCTGCCTCTCTATCTGTACGTATTATCTATCTGTCTTCATCATCATCATCTCTATGTATTATCTATTAATGAATCAATCAATCATCATCTATGTATCTTTAACCTATTATCTATCATCTACCTATTTATCATCTATCTATATCTATCCATCTATCATCTGTCTTGCTCTGCCTCTCGGTCTCTCTAGTTCTCTTTGGAATCTCTGCAGTTCATCCCCACATCTCCATCTTTCTATGTCCTTGTGCCTCTCCCTCAGGACTCTAATTTTAGTGCTTTTCTCTGCTCCCTTCCATCATTCTCACCACTCCTCTGCCCTCTTTTCTCTCTCTTTATGTGTCAGTGAGTCTCTCAATCTCCTTCCTCTGGCCCATTCTCTGTGTGTTTATGTCTTTGCTTTTTGGTGTTCCTGATTTCTCTCTGTGCCTCTCAGTGATCCTTTCATATGTGGGGTTATTTGGAATGTGAGCCTCAGAATCCAGTCTGGAGACCACAAGTTCACACAGCATACAGGGGTTGGTGTTCTGGGGCCATGATATCCTGGGACGGTTACTCTCCATTACATGGAAGGCAGAGGTGTCAGAATAAACATGGCCTGTAGGTGCCACAAGGCCTGAGGCCACAGGGCCCAACTCAGGTCAGAAATATGGGTGTCCTTGGGTTCTCCTGGTAGAGAACACTTTGTGGAGGTAAAACAGAAATGAAACTTCTATCCTGTGCCAGGTCTGTGAGCAAAGTCAGCATGGAGGGACACCTCTCTCTGGGACATGTCTGTCTGTCTGTCTCCTTTAACTCTTTCTGTCTTTTCTAACTCCCTGTATGGCCCCTGTGTCTGTCCTCCGTTATGACACCTGGTCTGTACTTGTGTCTCCTGTTTCTCTGTCTCTGTTGGTACAAACCTCAGCAAGTCAGTCTCTCTCCATAAGAATACCAAGCTCATCTTCCTTACAACTACCTGGGGGTTCCAAGTCGTGGATCATTCACTCTGCAGCCCAATGACAATGAGAATGTCCGGACACTCTCACCTGTGATGACGATGTCCAGAGGGTCACTGGGAGCTGACAACTGATAGGGGGAGTGAGTAACAGAACCGTAGCATCTGTAGGTCCCTGCAAGGTCTTGCATCATGGGACCGATGGAGAAGTTGGCCTTGGAGACCCCATCATGGTGCTCTCCAATGAGGTGCAAAGTGTCCTTATACTTCCCCTCTCTGTGCAGAAGGAAGTGCTCAAACCTGACATCTGACCAACATTGCAGGATGACTGTCTCTTCTGATTTCACCAGGGGACCTGGGTGGGCCAGGAGGGAAGGTTTTCTGTGGACTCCTAAGAAGAGAGGTTGTGAGTTTAGAAGGTGTCTCTCTTTATCATCCCATCCATGGCACCTAGAATGAGTGAGGCTTCCCCTTGCTGGTGTCTGTCTCTCTCCTTCCTCTCTGTGTCTTCATGTTCTTTTCTGTGCCCATAACTCCTGGTGCAGGTCCTTCCATCTGTCTCCCTCCCTCTTCTCTGTCCCTCTGTCTCTAGTAGCCTCTGATTCCCTTCCCACTGGGCTTAGCCTCATCTCTTGGGGTGTTGTATCTATTTCACACTAACGTCTTTCCTGCTGTTTATGTGGGGGTGAAAGAGGAACCAGGATAGGCTGCACATCCAGGCTCTTATCAGCCTTGTTCAATCTCTTTTGGATGAATTGCAATCCTTGGCAGAAGGTATGAACTGATGAATAAGGCAGGCACCAGTGTCCACACACCCTGTTCCTGGTCGGGACTGGGAGCCACTCTTGCCATGCCTGTGCCTTCTCCATGGTGCCAGCTTCCATAGGCTGGCTCCTGGTGCTGGTTGGAGGAGTATCAACCCCTCCCTATGTGGATGGAGCCTGGTGGTGGCATCATCATCCCACCCTTGCTGATCTCAGGGTAGCCAACCTTCTCCTTGTTTGGTTTCTTTAATTAATTAATTAATTTTGGAGACAGAGTCTCACTCCTTCACCCAGGCTGGAGTGAAGTGGTGTGGTCTAGGCTCACTGCAACCTCTGTTTCCTGGGTTCAAGTGATTCTCCTGCCCTCAGCCTCCTGAGTCGCTAGGATTACATGCGCCTGCCACCATGCCTGGCTTTCCTTGGGTTGTTTCTTAACTTGTCCTTGACCTGGGTTCCAGTGTTGGTTTCCTGTTGCTGCTGTACAAAATTATCAGAAGCATGGAAGCAGGAGAGACCACACTGACACCTTCCAGTACTGGAGACAGAAATTGGACCCTATTTTTCCTGGGCTAAAATCAAGGCATCTGCAGGGCTTCGTTTCCTCTGGAGACTCTGGAGAATCAGTTCCTTGACTTTTCCAGCCTCTATAGGCCACCTGCATTCATGGCTCTTGGCCTTCCTCCACCTTCAAAGCTGGTGAAGACTTCCACTGGACTGCTCTAATCCCCACTCCCCTCTTCCTCCTCCTTTCATGTGCACCCTTGTGATTACACTGAGCCCAGTGGGACAGTCCAGGCTGTCTCCCCATGAGCTCCATCTTCCCCTTCAGTCCCTTCCCCTATAACATACATAGTCACAGACTCCAGGGATTAGAATGTAGTCATCACTGGGGACAATTATTCTTCCCACCACAGCACCCATTTCCCTGTATTCAATCCCCCTTTACCACAAATACAGTCAGGGCCTGCGTGATGGGACCCTCAAGGACATGCCCACCAGAAGCTCTGGGATTCAGGAGGTGGGACAAGGAGAATCCAAGACAGGAGCCCTCTGACCTATGACCACGATCACCAGGGGGTTGCTGGGTGCTGACCACCCACTGGGGGAGTGTGTGTGTGAACCCCGACATCTGTATGTCCCTGTTGTGCGGGGGTCACAGGGCCCATGAAAAGGCTGTTCCAGAATATTCTGTTGTAGAGCTCAGGGACAGGCACCCCACCTTCCTTGTACAGACTGAAGTTGTTAAACCCAAGATAAGAGTGACACCGAAGAATGACATGTCCTAGAGGCACCACAAGGCTGGGCCAGGCAGACAGCAAGGGCTTGTCCTGACCACCTTGGGGAGAAGGAGGCGCCGCCTTAGAGAGGAGGATGTGGAACTGCCCCTCCCTCCCTGTGCTCAGAAGATTCTCCTCGCTTTCCACGTTTCTATGGCTACTATCACACCTTGGTGCCCAGGGCTGAAGGAAGGACCCATCCCGCAAAGACATGGTGTCTCCCTACAACAAAAGCCTCAGCTGAGAACTTTGAGCAAGTGCTGAGTAAAGAGACTCCTACTAGATTTTAATACTGTAAGATTACTCACATAAAACAACACAGGGTAGACATGAGGTGGAGGGCATGTCCTTTGTGAGTGGATATCAGCGGATGCCTGAACGAAAATAAACAACTGAGCCCCCATCAGAGGATTTGGAATGTCAGGGCCATGGCTGTGGTTTCCCACCTCTTCTGGTAGAATGACAGCAGCCACACTGCAGCCCCTACCATCATGGAAACGCTGAAGTGTGTGAGTAACACCTTTGTCCTCAGAGGATCTGCTGTTCCTACCACTTCCCCACCACACACCCCAGCTTTGAGCACCCCAGTCTAACCCTGGTCCCCACAGAACTTGACTCTGCCAAGGGGTTGAGAGGCCAGGGAGGCAAGGTCAGAAATGTGGGCCGAGCACCCCAGGGTCCTCTCTTCCCAGTTTATGAGAGACTCCCTGACAGGACTTCCCTCCTGTTTCAGGAAAATCCTCTTATGTGGGGAGATGACAACCGAAGGTTTGGAGAAGGACTCACCCTCATGTGGCCAGGCCCCCTGCAGCAAGAAGAACCCTGGAAAGAAAGATCATGATGGACCATCCATCTGCAGGCAAACCAGGACTCCCTTGCTGCCCCCACTGGGCTGTGAGTCTTGGCAGCCAGGCCCTTCCTGGGCTGAAGTTAAACTCACCCTCAGTGCCTACCTGCACCCAAGAACAGGGCTGTCGGCTGTGCAGAGACCCAGTTTCCAGGCCCAGATCCCCACCACAAGCCCATATCTCCACTCCAGGCTGATATTTCCACCCTAGGCCCATATCTCCAATCCAGTCCCATATCTCTGCCCCAGGCCCAGATCTCCACCCTAAGCCCATATCTCCACTCCAGGCCCATATCACCTCTCCAGTCCCATATCTCCACACCCAGGCCCATATCTCCTTCCTAGGCCCATATCTCCACTCCAGGCCCAGATATCCACCTCTAGGCCCATAACTCCACTCCTGGCCCATATCTCCACTCCAGGCCCATATCTCTACTGCAGGCCCGTATCTCCACCTCCAGATCCATATCTCCACTCCAGGCCCATATCTCCACTCCAGGCCCATATCTCTACTGCAGGCCCATATCTCCATCTCCAGGCCCATATCTCCATCTCCAGGCCCATGTCTCCACTACAAGCCCATATCTCTACTGCAGGCCCATATCTCAACCTCCAGGCCCATATCTCCACTCCAGGCCCAGATCTCCACTTCTAGGCCCATCACTCCATCTCTAGGCCCATAACTCCACTTCCAGGCCTATATCTCCAACTCTGGGCCCCAATCTCCATCCCCGCACTCCCTCCCTCGATTCCCTTCCAGGACTCACCAACACACGCCATGCTGACGACCATGAGCGACATGGTGCTGTCTGTGCAGACAGGCGGCCGCGCCCCAGCTCAGCTCAGCAGCGCACAGGATGTTATTTGGCGCCCTGCCCATGCAGTTTACATGTTGACCACATCATGGGAGGGTGACGTACGCAGGCTCTTTCTACCTTGCATGAGGCCCAGTGGGTGCTCGCTCAAGAGCGGAACATGGCTTCCTGGAAATTGTTCTCACTAGAATTGACACCTTGCGTCCTTCACTACGACCAGACTCAAAAGACGTCTCAGATCCAACCTCTCATACACGAGATGATTGAATTCTGTGCTTACATTAAAGATTTTTGATGTATTTTTGTTTTTATCTGAGATTCAAACTCTTCTTCATATGTAATGTGCAAAATGTCTAACAGGTATTATTAACATTATCAGAGTAATTGTGACAAGAAGCCATTCTAATTTTCCTGCTTGAGTTTCTAGTACTAAACCAGAGGCATCAGAATAGCTTGAACCTGGGAGGCGGAGGTTGCAGTGAGCTGAGCTCAAGCCACTGAACTCCAGCTTGGGTGACAGAGGAAGAGTCTGTCTCAAGAAAAAAAAAAAGCAAACTAAATAACCTATAATAACAAATCAGAGGACTCAGGTTACCAAATTTTAAGGGGTTCTATAAGTTTATATAAAATGCAGCATCCTCATGAGAGGGGATACAGAGAACCACTGGACAGAAAACTGTGTCTAAAATACATCTGTGGATACACAGTCCCTTTATAGTTGACAAAGGCTGCCATGTAGTTTAAGGTGGAATAGAATATTTTCTCAACAAATAACACAGGACCATAGGGTTACACGTAGGAAAAAATAAATCTAAACTTATCCTCACACTATAAAAACACTTCTTATTTTTTATCTTGTTGTTGTAAATTTTTTATGCTTTATTTTTAAGATTGACAAATAAAAATTATATACCATGGTCCTTCACTATACCTGGGTGATTGGTTCCAGGATCCCCATTCAGATACCAAAATCTGCAGATGCTCAAGCCCCTTGCATGAAATGGCATAGTGAAGCTGGGCACCGTGGCTCACGCCCGTAATCCCAGCACTTTGGGAGGCTGAGCTGGGTAGATCACAAGGTCAGGAGTTCAAGACCAGCTGGTCCAACATTCTGAAACCCCGTCTCTACTAAAAATACACACACAAAAAAATTTATCTGTGCAGGGTGGCACGTGCCTGTAATCCTAGGGGAGGCTACTGAGGAGGCTGAGGGAAGAGAATCGCTTGAACCTGGAAGGCGGAGGTTGCAGTGAGTTGAGATCACGCCACTGCACTCCAGCCTGGGTGAGAGAGTGAGACTGTCTCAAAAAAAAAAATAGCATAGCAATTGCATAGAACCCATGCACATCCTCCTGTATACATGAAATCATCTCTTGATTACTTATAATTCCTGACACAGCCTACACGCCACTCAATTTGTGTCGATTCAACATAGTTTTTTGCTTTTTGAAACTTCGGGGATTTTTTTTCTCAAAATATTTTTGATTTATTGCTGATTCAATAAACATGTGTAAACCCCAGAGATATGGAGGAGTGACTGTCTATTTATAGTAGTATGAAAGATGATGTGTTGATACGTGTCCCTGTGGAGATGAGACTAACAAGGCCTATGACTCTACAAATGTTTCATCGTGGAATGACTCTGCCAGCTTTCCAGATCTGCAGAGAGTAAGAATATCACTTGTTCATCTGATTCACCATCCTTGGAACCTCCTATGTGCTGCATCTTTGGATGGAAACTGGAGTCTCAGAGACAATTCAGGCTCCACCCTGCTTCCAGAAGCTCAGAGTCCAGGGGTGAGAACCCAGCGGAGAACAGATGGGGTTATGTGGACGTGGTAATGATAACACCGGAAGCCTTAGGCAAGAAAAGAGTCCCATTGACGAAACCATGAGGGCAGACATGTTTACTTGAAGAATAGAAAACTACATTGAAATTATAAAAAAAATTTATAAGTTTTACTGCTGACAGAAGGCTGAAAGATACTCTGAGGAAAGGTGGAACAACATGAGGAAAGGTGGAATAGCATGTATCTAAGTGCCGTGTTAAGAGGGAGCCTCTTATATGTTTGGAATTGTGAGTTCCTCAGTGTGATCGCAGCCTCAAGTAGACTAGGAAGTAAGCCAGTTAGGTTGGAGAGGTGGGCAGGGGTCAAGTGAAATGGAGAATTGTGGGCTAAGCAAAGGAGTGTGTTTTCTCTCCAGCAGGCAGTGGGGACCTTAGACATTTGTAAGCAAGAGAGAGGCATGTTCAGATTCGTGGTGTGAGGAAGAGCGATGCCCTAAGATGCAGACTCACGCCTTCAGATTCCAGCTGCTGGTACATGGGAGCTGGCAACCCGGTTTTGAGACAGGGCTATTGTCTCCCTAGAAGATCCCATCAAGGCCTGACTGTGGTGCTGGTGGACAGAAGACAACTTTGGATCTGCGCTCAGCATTTGGAAGTTCCGTGTTACACGCTGGTATCTGTTGGGGGTGTCTTGGGCCTCTGAGAAGGGCGAGTGATTTTTCTCTGTGTGAAAACGCAGTGATTCAACTGTGCGTATGTCACCTCCTGAGGGTCTTGTTCATCAGAGTCCTGGAGGGAGGGAAATGCTGAGTGAGGGAGGGTGCTCACATTTTTCAGGACTCTTTGGGAATAAGACTAGCCATGAGGCTGGGCTGAGGAGCACCTACCTCCCTGTTCACTGTTCTGTTCCCTGCAGGCTCTTGGTCCATTACAACAGCATCTGTAGAAGACGGAAGTCGTCAAAACAGCTCGGAGGGCACTTCTGGGTCCTCATTTCATAAGCAGATACCAACATGCAGGGGGAGGCCATAGGTGCCTGAGGTCCCTCAGTTGCCAACAGCAGACTCAGACATTCTATCTCTCTGAGCTCAAGGACCCATCCCATGAATAGCTCTGAGTTCCCATCCCATTGATTCTGTCTCCCACTTTCTGCCTGTCATGGAACCTTCTCCTGGATGTGAGTGGCTGCAGGGGATGTGAGGATATGGTTCAGAATCAGGCAATGGTCTGTGAGCTGAAGGCAGGGGCAGGGAGTCTGGTGCTCTCTCTAGAAAGTCCTGCCTCTGTGGCTCCTGCCTTGGGTCAGGGACCATCCTGCCTGTAAGGAACACACACCTGAGTGCTCCCATCCTGCTTCCCCACATGGCCCTGAGCTCTCTGGCTTCTGCTTCGTGAGACTTACTCTTTTTGTTGGCACACCAGCGATGAAGGAGAAAGAAGAGGAGGATAGCAAAGGGGATGATGACCACTGAGGTCCCAATCAGAGCGTGCAGGTATCTGGAGTTACCTGGAGGAAGACAAGACACCAATAAGAAGCTAATCATAGCAGTTCCTCTATATGAATTGTCTCACATTTCTTGATTGACAGGTAACCACATACAACGTCTCTTTAGGACAAGCACCCAGATGGCGGGAGACCTAGCTTCCTCCTGCTTTCTCAGTTGTAGTAACCATAGAACGTGCTGAGGATACAACTGCTTTAGTTTAGATGTTTGACCACTTCAAACCTCACATTGAAATGTAACCCCCAGGGTGGGAGGTTGGGCCTCTTGGGAGGTGTTTGGGTCATGGAGGTGGATCCATCATGAACAGATCAATGCTGTCCCAAGGAGATGGGGTTAGCAAGTTCCCCCTCTATTAGTTCCTGGAGAGCTGGTTGTTAAAAAGAACTTGGAAGCTCCATCGCTCCCCCTCCCCCTTGCTCCCTCTCTTGCCGTGTGATCTCTGTGGTCTCTGCACAGATAGACCCTCCTTCCCTTCTGCCAGAGCGGGAGCAGCCTGAGGCCGTCACAAGAAATAGATGCTGGTGCCATGCTTCCAGTACAGCCTGCAGAACTGTGAGGCAAACACATTTCTTTTCTTTAGAAGTTACCCAGGCTCAAGTGTTCCTTTAGAGCAACAAAAATGGACTAAGACAGCAAAGTCCTGAGATCAGGAGGAACATCCCAGAACAGCCTGGGCTGTCTTCCTGTTCTTCCTGGAGGAGGACGTCATGCAGTGCTTTAGCTGAGTGCTTCCTGTGGCTCCAGGGTACAAAACCCAGGCTGGGCTGCTTTTTGATTTCCCCCAGATACACTGCATATGGGGTGACTCCACATGTCTCGAGCAGCTTTTCTGAGCCTTGAGGGACTGGCTCACATTGAAATGTAGGCTTCTGTTGTCACTCGCTGCTTATCTGTTAGTAATGAACCTGCCTGTGTAATGTGTTCTCTGTGTGTTCTGTCTCCCTGGAGTGACGGTGAGTGATAGGAATTGGTATAGGCCCAGGTACATTCCAGGAGGTGTTTAGAGTCTTCTCTGGGAAGACTGGATTGGGATTGATACACAGCGAATGTGCTTTACAGTTTCTACCACCACAACCCTCTTGACTCAAAAAAATTACATTCTCCAAGAAAAGAAAGAAAAAATGAAATCAAGATAAAAAAAGTGAAGTAGAACTGACTTAAATCAAACAGCCATGAAATAATGATGTAGCCCAGGAACAACATGCTACTTTTTGTGATCTGCTGAGACATATATTAGGCTGCTATTCCACCCGAGAAGCACGGGGAAGGACCGCCCTCTCCGTCGTTTATTGTTTCAATACAGCCTGTCCTTCTGTGAGTTAGTACGAAATGTGACCAGGGGCTAGTGCTGGCACTGGTCTCTGAGTCCAAGATCTGAGCTCACTCCAAAGAGTATTAGTGTTTACCTCCCCATGATCTATCTGTATCTCCATAGGTGATTGGAAGTAGAGATGAATTGGGGGATTTGGGTGAAGGGGCAAGTTTTATGCCATGAACAGAGCATGTTCTCTATTCCAGGACCTGTGCTGGTGGGTTCAGGAGGCTTTCACATTTTCCATATGATCCCAAGCTCACAGAAAGCCAAATAAGGAAGAGGTTTAACCTGATTGTTTAATGGATAAGATAAAGGGTCAAAGAATTAAATACAGAGAAATAGAAAAATGATGGTTGGTATCCAGTTGCCTTTGTAATTTCTGTGTGTCATATTATAATTATGTATGTTTTATTTTTATTTTTTGAGACAGAGTCCCCCTGTGTCAGGCTGGAGTGCAGTGATGCGATCTCAGTTCAACCTCTGCCTCCAGGGTTGAAGCCATTCTTCTGCTTCAGCCTCCCCAGTCGCTGGGATTACAGGCAGGTGCCAATGCACCAGGCTAATTTTTGTATTTTTAGTACAGACGGGGTTTCACCATGTTGGCCAGGCTGGTCTCAAACTCCTACCCTTAAGTGATCTACCCGCCTTGGCCTCCCAAAGTGTTGGGTTACAGGTGTGAGCCCCCATCCACAGTCTTGTATATTATATTATACTAGGTCCCTTCATTTGCACCACCCCTCATGTGTCTATCGCTCCTCTGCCAGGTATTGATTTAGATGTAGAAAAAAAACACATCTCAGAAAGAAATTAATGAAACAAGGATTAAACTACTAGGAAAAATCAAACCCAGCAAGCCCTCCCTGCAAATGATTCTACCTCACAAGCATAGCTTATATCCATCTTTCATTCATTTAGTGTGTAAATCAACCCTACGTTTCACCAGTGGGGCGGGAATTGCCTTTTCCACGGTCTCCTAGATTCCAGTTACGCACCTGGGCCTCCCTTATTT
The DNA here is from genome assembly GCF_000001405.40 of Homo sapiens. Lineage (NCBI taxonomy): Eukaryota > Metazoa > Chordata > Mammalia > Primates > Hominidae > Homo > Homo sapiens. The sequence goes on from NT_187642.1 coordinate 121,013, forward strand.
TCATGTCGGTCACTGTTAATCAGGTAGGGATTCCTAGTTAGCTCTGAGTTGAATCCAAGGGCTGTGAGTATCAAAAACATGCTCCTTGTTCCTCCTTAGTTTCCTGTGTACCCAGTGTGCTCTCCATCTCTCTACAGTTGTCTTGTCATTCTCCCCATCTCATTCCCAGCATTTGAGGCAGAGCCTCTTCCTTGAACTAAGAATGTTTCCACCTTTGTGCCTTCACGGCTGAGAGCTCAGTGTGGAAAATCCTTCCGCCAATCTTCCAAGGGTTGAATCCATTTTTTCCATTAAGGTCACAAATATTATCTGATCAGTGAGACCTTCTCTGTCACCTGAAATTATATACTCAGCATTATCTATTACTTATTTTAAATCCTGGCTGGGCGCAGTAGCTCTCGCCTGTAATCTTTGCACTTAGGGACGCTAAGGCGGTGGGATCACTTGAGATTGGGAGTTTGAGACAGCCTGCACAACATGGTGAAACCTCATTTCTACTAAAAAATATACCAAAAAAATTAGCCGAGTGTGGTGGCGCACAGCTGTAATCCCAGCTACTCGGTAGGCTGAGGCAGGAGAATTGCATGAACCCAGGAGGCAGAGGTTGCAATGAGCTGAGATTGTGCTACTGCACTCCAGCCTGTGGAACAGAGAGAGACTCTACTCAAAAAAAAAAAAGAAAACAAAAAAAACACACACACACAAAAAACCCCAGATTTGGTGCACAGATGCTTCCCAATGGATCATTCATTTATTGGTACCCTTGTGCATTCATTCTCTGCCCTCGCATTTACCCATCTGCAATATCAGCGTCCCAAGAGCAGAGGCCAAATGCATCCTGTTTACCATTTGTGGAAGGCAGGAGAATGCTGCCCCACCCCCAAAATGTCCCTGTCTTAGCCTCCATAGCTTGTGAATATGTTATTTTACAGGAAAGGAGGAATGAAGATTGCAGATGGCATTACGGTTGCTAATCAGCTGAACTTAAAAAGAGGGTACGCTGGATGATTTTAGGGAGATTGAGATGGATTATCTTGGTGACCCCAATAGAATCCCAAAGTCCTTAAAAGATGAGGAAGAAGGCAGAGCAGGATTCAGAGAAAAAGGTATGGGTAAAGAAGAAGAGTCTGAATGATGCCATGTGAGACGTGACCAGCCTTTGTGGGCTTTGAGGAAGGAGGAAGAAGGAAGGGGACCAGGGGCCCAGGAACGTGGGAGCCTCTAGGAGCTGGGAAACGTTAAGGAGCAGATTCTTGCTTGGAACCTTAAAAAGAAATCCAGCCTTACTGTCCCTTTGATATCAGCCCAGTGAAATGCAGTTCATACTTCTGAGTTACAGCACTGTGAGATAATTAAGAAAAACATGTTTTCATCCACGAAGCTTGTGGAAATTTGTTATGGCAACAATAGGAAAAGATTCCACACTGCACAGCCAGAGCATGGGGCATTGGCTGAACGAGTGAGTGAGTGGAAGTGTCGTGTGCATAAATAAGCTAAATTCTCTCTTACTGCACGTCTCTTGCTCTGCTGAGTCAACCAGGGTTGCATCTGGTACACTGCTGATACGAATGTAAATTAGTACAGCCATTACAGAGGAGAAGAGTATGGAAGTTCCTCAAAAAATAAAATGAGGTCGGGCACAGTGGTTCATGCCTGTAATCCCAGCACATTGGGAGGCCGAGGTGGGTAGGTCACTTGAGGTCAGGAGTTGAAGAGCAGCCTGGCCAATATAGCGAAACTCTGTCTCTACTAAAAATATAAAAATTAGCCGAGTGTGGTGGTGGGAGCCAGTAACCCAGCTACTTGGGAGGCTGAGGCTGGGGAATCTCTTGAATCCTGGAGGTGGAGGTTGCAGTGAGCCCAGATGGCACCACTGCACTCCAGCCTGGGCAACAAGAGTGAAACTGTCTAAAAAAAACAAAAACAAAAACAAAAACCATAAAACAAAATGTAAAAAGACACTTCCAGAGGATCTAGCAATTCCATGACTGGGTGTAAACCCAAAGGAAAGGACATCAGCGTATCGAAGTGACATCTGCACTCCCATGACTGTTCCAGCAGTGTTCACAGTAGCCAAGATGTGGATCAACCTACCCGCCCATCAGTGGGTGAATGGATGGAGAGAATGTGGTACACACACACAATAGGGACAACTCATCCATAGAAAGAGTAACATCCTGTCATTTACAGCCACATGAATGGAACTGGAGGTCATTACAAGTATTTCCATTTCTCACTCATATGCAGGAGCTAAAAGGTGGATCTCACAAAGGTAGAGAGTAGAATGGTGGCTACCAGAGGCCAGGAAGGGAAGGGTGGAGGGTAAAAAAAAAAGAATACTAATTAATTAATTAATTAATTTTGAGAGAGTGTCTCTCTCTGTTGCCCAGGCTGCAGTGCAGTGGCATGATCTCAGCTCACTGCAACCTCCGCCTCCTGCAATTAAGTGCAACTCCTGCCCAACCCTCCCAAGTAGCTGGGACTACAGGCATGTGCCACCATGCTCGGCTAATTATTATCATTATTATTATTATTTTGTATTTTTAGTACAGATGGATTTTCCCCATGTTGGCCAGGGTGGTCTTGAGCCCCTGATCTCAAATGATCCACCTGCCTTGGCCTCTCAAAGTGTTGGGATTACAACAGTGAGCCACCGTGCCCAGCCTATAAATGTATTTATGAACAGTAGACTTCACACTTAAAAATGGTAAAGGTGGTAAATTACATAGGTATATTTCACCTCAATAAATATTTCTTCAAACAAAAAGAAAAGGGTGTAGGCGTTGCTGGTGATGACATCTCTCTGTGGGTGACAGGCCAGGATGGGCTTCTGGGAAGTGGGTAAGGTTGAGGGGCTGAGAGAACCTCTGATCTCCCCAGGCAGAGCCCAGTCTCCCTCCTCTGGGTCTGTTCTGACCTCTTTCTCCATCTGCCTGGGTGCCTGGAACCCTGATCAAGGGCCTCCTTGCAGGCCATACAGGAGGGTTTGGAGGTGCCCTGTCTGCCATCCTGCCCCCTGACCCCGCCCTTACACCCATGCTGTGTGTTCTGTCTCGGCATCTGTCCATGCTTCTCTCCATCATCAGCAGGAAGCTCCTCAGCTATGGCTCTAGGATCACAAGACATGGGACAGGCATGGTGTTTTCTCACCTGTGACAGAAACGGGCAGTGGGTCACTCGGGTCTGACCACGCGTGGGGCAGGGCACGGAAAGAGCCGAAGCATCTGTAGTTCCCTCCGTGGGTCACAGGGCCCAGAGGGAAGTTGGCCTGGAATGTTCCATTGACCCTCAGCACCGCAGTGAGCCTAAGTTCACCGGCCTCTGCCTCCCTGGATAGATGGTAAATGTCAAACAAGCTCCGGGAGCTGCAGGACAAGGTCACATTCTCTCCTGCCTGAACCGTGGGGCCCGGCTGGGCTGAGAGAGAAGGTTTCCCATATAGACCTGGAAGGAGAAGAGGTGGTTTCCTCAGGGAGGTTCTTCGTTGTCACAGCTCTCCTCACACCTGAGCTGAGAACTCACTCCCCTGCTCTATGACTTAATGCTCTCTTTCTCTCTCTCACCCTCCACCCCCATCTCTCTTCATGTCTATTTCCTCCTTCCACCTTCTCTGTCTCTCTAGGTCTCTGACCTCACTTCTCCATCCCTAGCTATGTTTTCTTTTTTTGTACCATTTTATTCTCTCTGACCCTCCTTGGACTGGTTGACTTGATCTTCCTCTTTCTTTAATTCTGAGTCTCTCACTTTCTGTCTTGCTCATAACTTTCTGCATATTTCTATCTACTATCTATTGATCGATCTATCATTTATCTATGTATGTATCTATCATCTATCATCATCTGTGTATCTATGACCTATCTCTCTGTTATCTATCATCTATCAATCAATGTATGTATGTATGCATCTATCCATCTATCATCATGTGTTTATCTGTCTTTCTATCTCTCTATATCTATTTATATATCATCTGTCTGTCTTTCTACTTGTCTATCTATATCATCTATCAGTCATTCATCATCTATTTGTCTATCACCTGTCTCTCTATTATCTATCATCTACCTTTTATCTTTCATCTATCTATATCTATCTATCCATCTATCATCTGTCTCTCTCCATCTCCTTGTCTTTCTCTGCCTCTCAGTCTCTCTAGTTCCCTTTTGGAGTCTCTGCAATCCATCCCCACATCTTTATCTTTCCCTGTCTTTGTGCCCCTCCCTCAGGGCTCTGATTTTAGGGCTTTTCTCTGCTTCCTTCCATCATACGCTCCACTTCTCTGCCCTCTTTTTCTATCTCTTTATGTGTCTGTGAGTCTCTCAATTCCCTTCTTCTGGCTCATTCTGTGTGTGTGTTCATGTCTTTGCTTTTTGATTTCCCTGATTTCACTCCGTGTCTCTCTGTGGGCTTTTGTTCTCAGTAATCCTATAACATGTGGTGCTATTTGAATATGAGCCTCAGAATCCAGTATGGGGACTCCAGGAACTCACAACATACAGGGGTTGGTGTTCTGCTCCCTCACCTGGGGCCATGGTGTCCTGCGACGACGACAGCTCCACTGCACGGAAGGCAGAGGTTTAAGAATAAACACAGCATCTGTAGGTGCCACCAGCCTGGGGCCACACGGCCCAACTCAGGCCAGATAGATGTGTCTCTTTGGGTTCTCCTGGGAGAGAACACTTTGTAGAGGTAAAACAGAATGGAACCTTCTAACCTGTGCCTGGTCTCTGAACAAAGTCAGCATAGAAGGACACCTCTCTCTGGGATATATCTGTCTCTCTGTGTCTTCTTTACCTCTTTATCTCTTTTTCTAACACCTTGTATGGCCCCTGTGTCTGGCTTCTATGTTATGACATGAGGTCTGTACTTGTGTCTCCTGTTTCTCTGCCTTTGTTGGTACAGACCTCACCAAGTCACTTTCTCTCCATAGGAACCCCACACTCATCTTCCTCATGACCACCTGGGGCTTCCAGTCCTAGATCATTCACTCCATCTCCCAGCAAGGGTGAGAGGCAGGTCTGTATTCTCTCACCTACGACCACGATGTCCAGAGGGTCACTGGGAGCCGACAACTCATAGGGTAAGTGAGTGACAGAACCAAAGCATCTGTAGGTCCCTGCAAGGGCAGGTGTCATGGGACCCATGGAATAGTTGACCTGGGAACCCGCATCGTGGAGCTGTCCAACGAGGCGCAAGGGGTCCTCAGTGATCCCCTCTCTGTGCAGAAGGAAGCGCTCAAACCTGACATCTGACCAACATTGCAGGATGACCGTCTCTCCCGATTTCACCAGGGGACCTGGGTGGGCCAGGAGGGAAGGTTTTCTGTGGACTCCTAAGAAGAGAGGTTGTGAGTTCAGAAGGCGTCTCCCTTTCTCATCCCATTCATGGGACCTGAAATAAGTGAGGCTTCCCCTCCATGGTGTCTATCTCTCTCCTTCCTCTCTGTGTCTCCGTGTTCTTTTGTGCCCATAACCCCTGTTGCAGGTCCCTCCATCTGTCTCCCTCCCTCTTCCCTGTCTCTCTGTCTCTAGTAGCCCTGATTCCCTTCCCACTGTGCTCAGTGTCACCTCTTATGCTGTTGTATCTGTTTCCCACTAATCTCTTTCCTGGTGTTTATGTGGGGGTGGAAGAGGAACCACGACAGGCTGCATGTCCAGGCTCTTAGCAGCCTGAATCAATCTCTTTTGGACAGATTGGAAAGGCTGGCAGGAGGTACGAACTCATCAGTAAGGCAGGCATCAGTGTCCCTGTTCCTGATGGGGATTGGGAGCCTCTCCTGTCATGTCTGTGCCTTCTCCATGGCCCCAGCTTCCATAGGGTGGCCCCTGGTGCTGGTTCCAGGAGCATCAACCCCTCCCTATGTGGATCGAGCCTGGTGGTAGCATCAGTATCCCACCCATGCTAAAATCAGTGTAGCCAACCTTCTCCTTGTTTGGTTTCTTAACTTGTGCTTCACCTGGGTTCCTGTGTTGGTTTCCTGTTGCTGCTGGAGAAAATTGTCACAAACATGGGGCAGGAGAGAATACAATGACCCCTTCCACTTCTGGAGAACAGAAATCGGACCCAGTTCTCTCTGGGCTAAAATCAAGGCATCTACAGGGCTGTGTTTCCTCTGGAGACTCAGGGAAGAATCAGTTCCCTTGACTTCTCCAGCCCTTAGAGGCCAACTGCCTTTGTGGCTCATGGCCTTCCCCCATCTTCAAAGCCCGCTGTGGCTGATGGAGTCTCCCTCCCACGACGTTGCTCTAACCCCACTTTCCTCTTCCTCCTCCTCTCATGAGGACCCTTGTGATTACTCTGAGCACAGCAGGACAGTCCAGGCTGTCTCCCCATCGCAAGGTCAACTCATCAACAACCTGAGCTCCATCTTCCCCTTCAGTCCCCTGCCCTATGACATAAATAGTCACAGGGTTCATGGATTACCATGTAGCCATCACTGGGGACAATTATTCTTCCCACCACAGCAACTATTTCTCTGTACTGAATCCCCCTTTACCCCAAATACAGTCTGGGCCTGGATGATTGGACCCTGATGGACGCCCCCACCAGAAGCTCTGGGATTCAGGAGGTGGGACAGTGAGAAGCCCAGACAGAAAGCCTCTGACCTGTGACCATGATCACCACAGGGTTGCTGGGTGCCGACCACCCAGTGGGGGAGTGTGGGTGTGAACTGCAACATCTGTAGGTCCCTGCATGTGCTGGGGTCACAGGGCCCATGAGAAAGCTGTTCCGGAATATTCTGTTGTAGAGCTCAGGGACAGGCATCCCGTCTTCTTTGGACAGACTGAATTCGTTAAACCCAAGATGAGAGCGACACTGAAGAGTCACATGTTGTCCTTCAGACACCACAGTGCCGGGCCAGGCAGAGAGGAAGGGCTTGTCCTGACCACCTGGGGGAGAAGGAGGCACTACCTTAGAGAGGAGGATGTGGAGCCGCCCCTCCCTCCCTGTGCTCAGAAGATTCTCCCATTTCCACGTTTCTAAGGCTCCTACCACACCTGGGTGCCCAGGGCTACAGGAAGGACCCATCCCGCATAGACATGGCGTCTCCCTACAGCAAGTGTCAGCTGAGAACTTTGAGCAGGTGCTGAAGAAGCGACTCTTACTAGATTTTAACACTGCAAAATTACTTACATAAAAGAACACAAGGTAGACACAGGATGGAGGGCATGATCAGCTAATGCATGAACCATAATAAACAACTGAGCCCCTATTAGAAGATCTGGAATGTCAGGGTCATGACTGTGGTTCCCCCACCTCTTAGGTAGAATGACAGCAGCCACATTGCAGCCCCTACCGTCATGGAAACGCTGGAGGGTGTGAGTTATGCTCTTGTCCTCAGAGGCCTGTTGTTCCTTGCACTGCTTCTCTCCCTTCCTCTGCCGGTGACACCACTTCCTCCCTGCACACCACTCCTTTGAGCACTTCAGTCTCCCCCTGGGTCCCCACAGACTCAGCCAAGGGAAAGAAAGGCCGGGGAGGGCTAGGACAGAACTGTGGCGAAGCTTCCCCTGGCTTCCTTTTCCTAGTTCATGAGAGATTCCCACATGGCTTCCCATGGTCAGCCCATCAGTCAACCCCCTGTGTCGCCTGCCTCCCGTTTCAGGAACATCATCTTATGTGGGGAGATGACAACCTAAGGTTTGGGGGAAGGACTCACCCACATGTGGCCAGGGCCCCTCCAGCAAGAAGAACCCTGGAAAGAAAGATCATGATGGATGATCCATCTGTACATCACCTCCAGGCCCATATCTCCACTCCAGGCCCATATCTCCACCTCCGTCCTATATCTCTACTCCAGGCCCATATCTCCACTCCAGGCCTATATCTCCACCTCTGTCCTATATCTCTACTCCAGGCCCATATCTACACTCCAGGCCCATATCTCCACCTCCAGGCCTGTATCTCCACCTCCAGGCCCGTGTCTCCATTCCAGGCCCATATCTGCACTCCAAGCCAACATCTCCACTCCAGGCCCATATCTCTACTCCAGGCCCATATCTACAGTTCCAGGCCCATATCTCCACCTCCAGGCCCATATCTCCACTCTAGGCCCATATCTCCACCTCCAGGCCCGTATCTCAATTCCAGGTCCATATCTGCACTCCAAGCCAATATCTCCACTCCAGGCCCATATCTACAGTTCCAGGCCCATATCTCTACTCCAGGCCCATATCTCTACTTCAGGCCCATATCTACAGTTCCAGGCCCATATCTCCACTCCAGGCCCATATCTCCACCCCAGGCCCATATCTCCACTCCAGGCCTATATCTCCACTCCAGGCCCATATCTCCACTCCAGGCCCATATCTCCACTCCAGGCCCAGATCTCCACCCCACCGCTCCCTCCCTCGATTCCCTTCCAGGACTCACCAACACACGCCATGCTGACGACCATGAGCGACATGGTGCTGCCGGTGCAGACAGGCGGCTGCGCCCCAGCTCAGTTCAGCAGCACACAGGATGTTGTGAGGGGCTCATGCAGTTTACATGCTGACCACATCATGGGAGGATGACGTATGCAGGCTATTTCTACCTTGCATGAGGCCCAGTGGCTGTTTGGTCAAGAGCAGAACATGGCTTCCTGGAAATTGTTCCAACTAGAATTGACACCTTGCATCCTTCACTATAACCAACTCAAAACACGTCTCAGATCCAATCTCTCATACAGGAGATGACTGAATGCTTGGCTTACATTAAAGACTTTTGATGTATTTTTGTTGTTTTTATCTGAGATTCAAACTCTTCTTCATGTGCTATTTTCCCCAGGCTGTTCTTTGACTTCAGAGTTCAAGCAATCCTCCTGCCCCAGCATTTCTAGCAGCTGGCAGTATGTCACAATCTGCCACACCCAAGTCACAACTTTTAGAACTTTTTTTTTTTTTGAGACGCAATCTCACTTCGTCACCCAGTTTGGAATGCAGTGGTGAGACCTCGGCTCATTGCAGCCTCCACCTCCCAGGTTCACGCAATTCTCGTGCCTCAGCCTCCTAAGTAGCTGGATTTACAGGCACCCACCACCACGCCCACCTAATTTTTGTACTTTTAGTAGAGAGGAGGTTTCTCCATGTTGGCCAGGCTGGTCTTGAACTCCTAACCTCAAGTGATCTGTCTACTTCAGCCTCCCAAAGTGCTGAGATTACAGGTGTGAGCCACCATGCCTGGCCGGGACATTCTATATGTGTGCGTATGTGTGCATTTATATACATATGGTTATACACACACACACACACACACACACACACCCTAAGCACTCACATATATAGTTGTTTCAAATTTTAAAAAATATAAATTTTGTATTTTTCTTTCTTTTTCTCACATTTGTGTTTCTATGACACCATATACATATTGAATTTTATAGCTCTATTTTATTCTTTTGGATTGCAGTTTAATAGTCCATGCATAACTTTATCAACATGTAATTATCCATTCTTTTTATCATGGACATTTGTGTTGTTTCCGGATTTTCTCTTTTATAACTCGGGCCTTGATAATCGTGTTTCTGTGTGATCCCTTGCATACATATGCTGAATTAATTAGACATATTTACCTAGAAATGAAATTATTGGTTTTGGGTGCAAGTTGGTGTTGAGCTTAACCAGGAAGTGCCAAAATATTTCCATCATGACCAAATGTGGCCTGGAAAGTTTTTTGGGGTCAATTTTCCTGTTTCTTCTAAGGAACAAAATTGATGTCACTGATTTTTCTGTCCTGTTTGTCATTTATGAATGTATGTACATATGCACGTATATATTTGCTTGCCATTTTATGTTTTTCCTCGACGTTACTTTGGAATTAATTTGCTGATGTGTAGTATTTCTGCAAGTGAAAGTTACCTATTTACTCAGCTCTTCCTTCTTTTCTAACACAGACATTTGAGGCTTATTGTCCCTTAACGCTGTTCTATCTGTATCCCCAGTCATTTGCCGAGATGTGTTTTCATTTTTAATTGATACAAAATATTTTCCACCTTTCTTTGAAATGTTTTTCTTCCACTCATTGTTTATTGCTATGTGTGTTTATTAATTTTAAAATATTTGATAATTTCCCCAGCATTTCCTTGTTGTACATTTATAATTTAATTCAACTGTTTCATCTATCATATTACCTATGATTCAGCATTTAAAAATTTATTTTGGTGAATGTTCCAGGGGTGCTAGACAAGTTTGTGGATTAGGAAGATTTGAGGTGGATGCTTTCTAAATGTCAGTTAAGAAAAAAATCATTCAAATGTTTTTCTTTATTTAAAAAAAATAGAGACGGGGTCTCACTATGGTGCCCAGGCTGGTCTCAAACTCCTGGCCTCAAGTGATCCTCCCATTTTGGCCTCCCAAAGTGCTAGGATTATTGAAATTATTAAATGTTTCATATCAACACCCAACCTTATGCACCCGCCGCCTACACAAATGTTTTTCAAGTCTTTCATATGCTTAATAATTTTCTGTGTACTTGTTCTGGAAGTGAGGTGAATGTTGCTATCTCTAGCTGCAATTTGGATGTGATTGATTATGTTTTGAATTATGCCTTTAATTTAATGTGTTTTGAGGTTCCAGCTTTAGGTGTGTAGGCATTTAGGATGATTATGTCTTATTTATGAATTTGCCTCTTTGTCATTATGAAGTACTCCTCTTCATATCTCCATATATCTCTTCTTTGTATGTGCATGGTGAAATATTTCATTCTTTGAGTTAAGAAACTTCTATTGAGGAATACTTTTTATTACAAACATTTACCTATTCTATGTATACAACTGACTAGAAGCATATTTTGCACTGGGCATTATCATGACAAGGTAATGTCATTCTTTCAATATTTACATCTTGTGGATTAGTATTTGAAGTGCAGCTTATGTAGACAGCATAAGGTTGGGTGTTGATATGAAACATTTAATAATTGCACACGTATTTGCCTCTTGGGATACTTCCACTTTTTTGAATTTCAAGTTACTAAATGGTATCATTAATCTTTGCTTCAAGAGCTTAACATTTATTGTAGAACAATGCTTCATGTAATAAATTGTGAGACATTTTTAATGGCACCTTTATTGCAGGAAAATGTTTTCCTTTTCAGGTTGAAAGATTCTAGTTTGAAATATTTTCTTGTAGCACTTTAAAAATGTTGGTCCACCTGTTTCTTACTTTCATAGTTTTGAATACAAAGTTTGCTGTCATTCTTGTATTTCTTCTTCTGTTTTTTATTTATTTATTTTTGACAGAATATCTTGCCGTCTCACCCAGGCTGGAGTGCAGTGGCATGATCTTGGCTCACTGCAACCTCTGCCTTCCAGGTTTCAGCAATTCCTGCCTCAGCCTCCTGAGTAGCTGGGACTACAGGCATGCGCCACCATACCCAGCCAATTTTTTTTTTTGTATTTTTTTTTTGTAGAGATGAAGTTTTGCCATATTGGCCAGAACTCCTGACCTCAAATGATCCACCTGCTTTGGCCTCCCAAAGTGCTGGGATTACAGGTGTGAGCCACTGTGCTCAGGCTATTTATTCCTTTTTATATAATATGAATTCACATTCATACATACCAGGGGTTAGGATTTCAACAAACGTTTCTGGGGGAGACCACTCAAAACACAGCACTCATCCTTGGTTATTTCCAGCCATGGAGCCTGTATCAATATCCTGGTGAATTATCTAAGCTGTCCACCTACCTACCCCAAATCCTCATGGTCACATAAAAGGCTAGTATAGTATAATAATTTTTCTTTCCCTGCTTATCTACAGTGATGAAGAAACGAATATTCAAAGGGAAAAATCTTAGCTTTAGGTATAGGGTAATTCTTCTTCCTATTTTTAAATAACTTCAACCTTTACTGTAGATTAAAGGTATGCATGCAGGTTTGTTACATAGGCATATTGTGTGACTCTGAGGTTTGTGGTTCCAACAATGCCATCACCCAGGCAATGAGCATAGAATCCAACAGGTGTTTCTTCAGCCTATACCTCCCTACTCCTCCCCCCATCTGTAGTCCTCGGTATCTGTTGTTTCCATCTTTATGTTCATGTGTATTCAATGTTTGGTTCTCAGTTATAAGTGATAACATGTGGTATTTGGTTTTCTGTTCCTGGGTTAGTTCACTTAGGAGATTGACCTCCTGCTACATTCATGTTGCTGCAAAGGACATGATTTCATTATTTTTTATGGCCATGTAATGTTCCATGTGTATATGTAGCACATTTTCTTTAACTAATCCACTGTTGGTGAGCACTTAGGTTGACTGCAAATCTTTGCTATTCTGAATTGCACAGCAATGAATATACTAGTGCATGTGTCTTTTTGACATAGTTAATTACCTTCCTTTTGGTATATACCCAGTAGTGGGATTGCTTGATTGAATAGTAGTTCTATTTTAAGTTATTTGAGAAGTCTCCAAACTGCTTATCACATTGGCTGAACTAGTTAACATTCCCACCAAGAGTGTATAAGTGTTCCCTTTTCTCCACAATCTTGTCAGCATCTGTTATTAAAAAAAACAAAAAACTTTTTAGTAATTGCTTCTGCTTCTCTGATTGTTGTGAGATGGTATCTCACTGTGGTTTTAATTTGCATTTCTCTGATGATTACTGATAATAAGCATTTGTTCATATGTTTTTTGGCCATGTGTACATCTTCTTTTGAGAAGTGTCTGTTCATGTCATACTTAATTGAGGTTTTTTGGTTTTCTGCTTGTTGATTTGTTTACATTCCTTATAGATTCTGGATATTAGAACTTTGTCAGATGCATAGTTTGCAAATATTTTCTCCCAGTCTGTAGGTTATCTGTTTACTCTGTTGATACTTTCGTTTGCTGTGCAGAAGCTCTTCAGTTGAGTTAGGTCCCAATTTCTGTCTTTGTCACAATTGGTTTTGGGGAGTTAGCCATAAATTCTTTGCCAAAGTCTATCTTGAGAAGGATATTTCCTAGGTTTTCTTCTAGAATTTTAATATTTTGAGGTTTTACATTTAAATCTTTAAACTATCTTGGGTTAATTTTTGTATATAGTGAGAGTTAGGGGTCCAGTTCTATTATTTTGCATATGAGTAGTCAGTTATCCCAGAACTATTTATTGAAGAAAGGGTACTTTCCACATTGCTTGTTTTTGTCAATTTTTTCAAAGATGATTGTAGGTATGTAGCCTCATTTCTGGGTTCTCTATTCTGTCTCATTGGTCTATGTGTCTGTTTTTGTAGTAGTATCATGCTGTTTGGGTTACTATAGCATTGTAGTATAGTTTGAAGTTGGGTAATGTGATGCCTGGGCTTTGTTCTTTGTGCTTAGGATTCCTATGTGTATTCAGGCTCTTTTTTTGGTGCCAAATACATTTTAGAATAAATTTTTATAATTTCGTGAAAAATGACATTGCATTTTGAAATGGATAGCATTGACTCTGCAATTTGTTTTTGGAAGTATGGCGATTTTAACTATTTGTTCTCCTAATTCATGAGCATGGAATATTCTTCCATTTGTTTGTATCATTTCTTATTTCTTTCAGAAGTGTTTTGTAGTTCTCCTTGTAGAGAATTTTCACCTTCTTGGTTAGATGGATTCCTAGGTATTTTATTTTCTTTGTGGCTAGTGTAAATGGAATTGTGTTCTTGATTTAGTTCTCAGCTAGAATGTTAGTGGTGCATAGAAATGTTACTAATTTGTGTACATTTTTTTAATCCCGAAACTTTATTGAATTTGTTTATCAGTTTCAGGAGCCTTCTGACAGAGTCTTTAGGGTTTTCTATGTATAAAATTATTTCATCAGCAAAGAGAGACAGTATCACTACTTCTTTTCCAATTTTAATGCCTTTTATTTCCTTCTCTTGCCTGATTGCTTTGGCTAGGACTTCCAGTACCATGTTGAATTAAAATGGCGGGAGTGGTCATCCTGGTCTTGTTTCGGTTCTCAAGGGGTATGGTTCCAGCTTTTGCCCATCAATATGATGTTGGCTGTGGGTTTGTCATAGATGGCTCTTAATATTTTGAGGTATGTTCCTTTGATGCCTATTGACAGTTTTTATCATGAAGGGATGTTGGATTTTACAGAAAGCTTTTTTTGCATCTATTGAGATGATCATATAGTTTTTGTTTTTAATTATGTTTATGAGGTGAATCACATTCGTTGACTTTGTAGGTTGAACCAACCTTGCATCCCAAAAATAAAGCTTACTTGATCATGTGAATTAACTTTTGATGCACTGACAGATTCAATTTGCTAGCATTTTGTTGAGGATTTTATGTCTATGTTCATTAAGGATATTTAGTTGTAGTTTTCTTTTTTTCATTATGTCTCTGACAGATGTTGGTATCATGGTGATGATGGCTTCATAGAATGAGTTAGGAAGAAGCCCCCACTCCTTGATTTTTTCCAAAAGTTTCAGTAAGATCGGTATCAGTTCTTCTTTGTATGGCTGTTGGATTTTGGCTGTGAATCCGTCTGGTCCTGGGCTATTTTTAGTTAGTAGGGTTTTTATTACTGATTAAATTTCTGAACTTGTTATTGGTCTGTTCAGGTTTTCACTTTCTTCCTGGTTGAAATATGATAAATTTTGTGTTACCAGGAATTTATCCATTTCTTCTAGGTTTTCTAGCTTGTTTGTATAGAGGTGTTCATAATAGTCTTTGACGATCTTTTCTATTTCTGTGGGATTGTTCGTAACATTGTTTTGTCAGTTCTATTTGTGTTTATTTGGATCTTTTCTCTTTTTCTTTGTTAATCTAGCTAACAGTCTATGAATTTTGTTTATTTTTTTTCAAAGAAAAACTCTTGGTTTTATTTATCTCTTGTATGGACTTTTTGGTCTCAATTTATTCAGTTCTCTCTGACTTTAGTTATTTCTCATCTTTTGCTGGCCTTGGGTTTGGACTGTTCCTTTTTTTTAATAGTTCCTCTAGATGCAGTGTTAAGTCACTAATTTGAGATCTTTCTAAACTTCTGATGAGGCATGTATTGCTATAAATTTTCCTCTTATCACTGCTTTAACTGCATCCCAAAGGTTTTGGTAAGTTTGTTTCTATTTTTATTAATTTTAAATAATGTTTTGTGATTTCTGCTTTAATTTCATTGTTCACCCAAGAGTTCTCAAGGGGTACAGTTCCAGCTTTTGACCATTCAATATGATGTTGGCTGTGGATTTGTCATAGATGGCTCTTAATATTCATTCAGAAACAAGTTGTTAAATTTCCATGTTTTTCTGTAGTTTTGAGAGATCATCTTGGTATTTTTTTCTATTTTTATTGTGTGCCTTGTTATGATTTTGATTCTTTGAATTTATTGAGACTTGCTTTGTGGCCAGTCTTAGAATATGATATGTTTTTTGTGTGTGCAGATAAGAAGAATCTATATTCTGCAGTTGTTGGGTGGAGTACTCTGTAGATGTCTATGAGGTCCAATTGGTCAAGTGTTGTCTTTAAGACCAGAATTTCTTTGTTAGTTTTCTGTTTTAGTGATTCATCTGACGTTGTTAGTGGGATACTGAAGTCCCTTACTATTATTGTGTGGCTGTCTAACTCTTTTCATAGGTGAAGAATAACTTGTTTTATGAATCGGGGTGCTCCAAATTTGGGTGCATATATATTTAGAATAGTTAAGTCTTCTGTCAAATTGAACCCTTTATCATTTTGTAATGCCCTTCTTTGTCCTTCCTGATTGCTGTTGATTTAAAGTGTGTTTCATGTGATATAAGAATAGGAATGCCTTCCTTTTTTTTGTTTCCTGGTTGCCTAGTAAATATTTCTTCATCCTTTTACTTTGAGCCTGTGGGTGTCATTACATGTGAGATGGGTCTCTTGAAGACAGCAGGCAGTTGGCTCTTGGCTTTTTATCCACGTTGCCACTCTATGCCTTTTATGTGGGGAATTTAGGCCATTTACATTTCTTCTCCTGATATATCCTTTTTATATTTTTATGATTGCCTTTTAAAATATATTGAATGGTTGTAATTCCAGGGAAATGTCTTTCAGAACAGTATTTATTCCTATCTACATGTTTTGGAGAGTGCACTAGGGGACATTGAAGTTTATTTCCTGAAAAGAGTTTAATTTTAAAATGTATTTTATTTAATAACTCAATGATTCAGGGAATGTCTAGGTATTTCAGAGATTGTTTTAGACAGTTTGTTTTCTTGTGATATGTGACCACTTCATCTAAGCTGAATAATGTCTTCATAATGTCCACTTAGAATCTTTTGAATTCTGTAGGATCTGTACTGATGTCATTGTTTCCTTTCTGATATTGGTAATTTTCCTGGGGTAGGATTCTTAGCTCCTCCTGAGGTCCTGCCTCTAAAATTCAGGGAACAATGAGTCAGATTAGTACTCTGATTTCAAAGGGAAAGCTGATCATCTACCATTTTTTGTTTATGTAAATGGACACATTAACATCCCTTGTCTGAACCTTAGTTACCTTGTTTGGAGCATTTTGCTATAAATCTCACTTCTCAGAGTGGTTGTGGGGCTTGATGTGGCTGGGGTATGGGATGGCTTAAACATAATTTATTTCCAGACCAGGTTAAGGCATGAAGGGGTTGGGACTTGTTAGAATCCTGTTGTCGGACTCCACAGTAAGGGTAGACATTTGAGGCACCCAATCAAAAACCTCAGTTGTTCCTAGCACTGAGAAATTTGATAGAATGTTTCTAAAACATTATTCATGGTCTAATGCACAAAAAGTAAAGTGATAGCCCTGGAAGTAGACAGGGAACCATAAGAAAAAAGAGAGAGCAAAGCTCAGTGGTCACCAGTGCCTGGGACCATCAAGGGGTTATTAAGGAGGAAGTTTCCACCTCTGTGGGGAACAGAAGAGGCTCCCTAGGGTCCACACACACAGGGAGTGAGCCAAGACTCTGGGCGAGGCTGGAAGCTCTGGGTCTCCTTCTGTGAGATTTTCTTTTTTTTTTTTGAGATGGAGTCTTGCTCTGCCACCCAGGCTAGAGTGCAACGGCGTGATCTCGGCTCATGGCAACCTCTGCATAAAGTGGTATGTATTTAAGGCATGCATTAGACAAATTACTAAGTATTTACTAGATAAGAAAAAATTATATCTGAATCTTTTCAAATTGCCGTCTTATGCATTATATTCTCTTTTTATAGTGCAATTTCTTAATAGTTAATGCCAGAAGATTTTTTTTTCTTCCTTTCTTTCTTTCTTTTTTTTTTTTTTTGAGACAGAGTCTCACTCTGTTGCCAGGCTGGAGTGCAGTGGCACGATCTCGGCTCACTGCAACCTCCGTCTCTCGGGTTCACGCCATTCTCCCGCCTCAGCCTCCTGAGAAGCTGGGACTACAGGCACCCTCTACCATGCCCAGCTAATTTTTTTTTTTTTTGTATTTTTAGTAGAGACGGGGTTTCACCATGTTCGCCAGGATGATCTCTGTCTCTTGAACTCGTGATCCACCTGCCTTGGCTTCCCAAAGTGCTGGGATTACAGGCATGAGCCACTGCACCTGGTCGCCAAAAGATATTTTTAAAAACCTAAATGCCACTTGAAATGAATAAGACCCTCAATAATTCATGGGATATACATGTGAACTTATGACATATGATGAAATAAGCAGGTTACAAAATTGTAATATATCAAGCAAGGTAGAAAGCCATGGCAGAAAAAGAGACAAGCATTTTCAAGATAAGGAATGAAAGAGGGGAAACAGTACTATTGATTTTACAGATTTTACAAAGATATCTTAGGTGTGTTTTCCTAAATAATAAATGTACCCTCCTTTTGACCTTTATGTAATGAAATAACCATGCACACATTTTCAAATAATACTTCATTTACTTGACTTTATGCTTGAAAATTGAAGTATGGTGCTGTTTGTTATTTTCATTTATGCATTTTACTACCTTGTAATATTCCACTGAGTCTATTTACCACACTATGTTTATTTTTTTCGTAGGTGGACTTTGGTATTTTATAGCTTTGGCTAATAGGAACAGCATTCCTATAACAGTTGTGAGTGTATCATGACACATAAGTAGACATTTATCTCTAGGGTACATAATTAAGTACATAATTAAGAAGGGTCACAGCCGTGTGCCTCCTCTTTTTAACTAGATAATTCCAATACACTTCCTTAATTGATTAAAGCAATTTGTACTCTTACTATTAATGTACTAAAATTCTACATGTTCAATATTCTTTCCAAAAAATGATTTTGCTACTTTTTTCTTTTCTTGAGACTGAGTCTTGCTCTATCACCCAGGCTGTAGTGATCTCGGCTCACTGCAACCTCCGCCTCCTGGGTTCATGCGATTCTCGTGCCTTGGCCTCCCAAGTAGCTGGGATTACAGGCAGGCGCCACCATGTCTGGCTAATTTTTGTATTTTTAGTAGAGACAGCGTTTCACCATGTTGGCCAGGCTGGTCTCGAACTCCTGACCTCAGGTGATCCTCCTGCCTCGGCCTCCCAAAGTGTTGGGATTACAGGCATGAGCCACCACACCCGGCCTATTTTTTTCTTTTCCCTCCATTGTGCTATGATTTTTGACATTACAATTTTACTGAAACTACACCATAAGAATGAAGCAGAAATTATTATAACCTTTAAATAAACTTTACAACTGGTTCATACTCGTGTGAACGACAATTCTTTTGACTATTTCCCAACTGTGCATTCAATGGCGTCATATGGGCACCCTGAAGTTGGCCATAAAGGACGTATTTATACCACACTAATCAGCAAATACCATAAATCTGGGGCTTTATATGTTCAGAGTTTTCTTAAGAAAATAATTTTTTCAGAGAGCCAGTTTAACAGAATACCATGAGGCTGAGCCTTCGAGCGTTAGTGTGCTCATTCTGAGAGATGATATTTCTGGACGAAGTACACAGGTATCATCCGATGAAGAGTGAAGGGAATTCAGGGTCCAGAGAGGGTGCTAGGGCATCATTTCAGACTCATATTTCCCTTTTTTTTTTTTTTTTTTGGAGATGGAGTCTTGCTCTGTTGCCCAGGCTGGAGTGCAGTGGCAAGATCTTGGCTCACTGCAACCTCCGCCTCCCGGGTTCAAGCTATTCTCCCACCTCAGCTTCCTGAGCAGCTGGGATTACAGGTGCTCACTGCCACACCCAGCTAATTTTTGTATCTTTTAGTAGAGACAGGGTTTCACCATGTTGGCCAGGTTGGTCTCGAACTTCTGACCTCAAGTGATCCGCCCACCTCAGCCTCCCAAAGTGCTGGGATTACAGGTGTGAGCCACTGTGCCTGGCCTCAGACTCATGTTTCAAAGTCCCAAATACAAATCTGCCCACCTATTCCAGTTATTTAATCCAGATCTATGCTCAGAACTGAAAAGATGGAGAATCAATAGTTCACTTTAGAGAATGCGGTAGTTGGAAACAAAGACAAATGTATTACAGGACAGTGGACCAGAGCACGTGATCGCAGGGGTGTGGATGCAAACCCACCATGGGGGACGTGCCTTCACATCACAGAGAGCGAAAGGAAGGGAGGGGCAGACACGGAGGATCCACAACAGCAGGACTGAAAGCACTGCCATTTAATGGAAGTTTAATGGAGGAAGCGTTCTCTACAGGCACCCAGACATCTTCCTGAACCTGACCCAAGCCTCCCCTTCTCGACTTTCTCAGTAGACGGTTTCCCGAATGATGGTCCAGACTTTCTTCCAGAACCTCCTAGGACTATCAGATTCATTGCCAAGGCTCTGGCACTCTGAAGGGTGCATTGTTCTCTCATGTATTTACCTCCTTGCTGCATCTTGGGGACTTCTCTAGCTGTGCCAATCCTAAAGCAGCAGAATCCCGAGGACCACCAGGACCAAGCCAGCCACAGCCACGCGGATGAGATTCTCCACTGTGTAATCCTGGGGGTGTGAGGCTGGGGATGGTGGACCAAGAGGTCTCAGAGGTCAGGGCAGATCAACATCACCCGGGACCCCTGGATGTCCACCCAGGGCACCCACCTCCCCTTCACAGGACCTGACCCTCTGTGCCAGCCCCATAACCGAGAGCATCTCCTTACACACCAGTCTTGGAGTCTGTCTTGTTTTGCGATGGGCTGAGGGTCTCAGCTGCTCCTGAGAATCAACCAAAAAAGGGGGAGGTGTGTGAGGAGTTGAAGAGACTTAAGCCAACATGTCCCTCAGTTGCTGCATTCCTTTGTGTCTACACTTCTCCTAACTGCTCTGTAGTTGTGTGATAGAACCTTTCCCTGCCGTGGCAGAGGTACATTCGCATACATACATACATATATGCATAGGTGTAAATATGTGTGTATACATAATATGTGTTATGCATATGTGTATACATAATATGTATTATGCATATGTGTATAGATAATATGTATTATGCATATGTGTATGCATAATATGTATTATAAGATATAGTGTGAGTATATATAAATATATAATATATAAGATATATAATAGTGTGTGTATACATATAAATATATAATAAGATATGTAATAGTGTGTGCATATATAAATATATAATATATAATAAGATATATAATAGTGTGTATATATAAATATATAATACATAATATATTATAAGATATATAATAGTATGTATATATAAATATATAATACATAATATATAAGATATATAATAGTGTGTGTATATATAAATATATAATACATTATATATTATAAGATATATAATAGTATATATAAATATATAGTACATAATATATAATAAGATATATAATAGTGTGTGTATACATATAAATATATAACAAGATATGTAATAGTGTGTGCATATATAAATATATAATATATAATAAGATATATAATAGTGTATATATATAAATATATAATACATAATATATTATAAGATATATAATAGTATGTATATATAAATATATAATACATAATATATAAGATATATAATAGTGTGTGTATATATAAATATATAATACATTATATATTATAAGATATATAATAGTATATATAAATATATAGTACATAATATATAATAAGATATATAATAGTGTGTGTATACATATAAATATATAATAAGATATGTAATAGTGTGTGCATATATAAATATATAATATATAATAAGATATATAATAGTGTATATATATAAATATATAATACATAATATATTATAAGATATATAATAGTATGTATATATAAATATATAATACATAATATATAAGATATATAATAGTGTGTGTATATATAAATATATAATACATTATATATTATAAGATATATAATAGTATATATAAATATATAATACATAATATATAATAAGATATATAATAGTGTGTGTATATATAAATATATAATACATAATATATATTATAAGATATAATAATGTGTGGGTAATATAAATATATAATACATAATATATAAGATATATAATAGTGCATATATAAATATATAATACATAATATATATTATAAGATATAATAATGTGTGGGTATATATAAATATATAATACATAATATATATTATAAGATATAATAATGTGTGGGTATATATAAATATATAATACATAATATATAAGATATATAATAGTGTATATATAAATATATAATACATAATATATATTATAAGATATATAATAGTGTGTGAGTATATATAAACACATACATATATATTTGAAGTGAGAAGAGTATTATATAATTTAGAAACAAACAAGTTTGTCCTCCATTTTCTTGTGGTTAATGTAATTATTATCAATAAATCAGAAGAGATCATTTCGGAAAGGATTGAAAGGGAGTGTGTCTGTGGTAAGTTAATAGGAACTAAAATTAGCATACCCAAACCAATAGCTTTCTCATCCATACGTAACTAATTTTAGAAAATAGAAAGGAATCAAAGACTTTCAAATTATTCAAGTAGTAAAACAATGCTTAAAATTCACAATGTCCACAATTTTTATGAATACAACTTCAAGCATCTGCTAACTGTATAAAGTTTAATTTTAAATGTATTGGATAAAAAGACATTATTAATGAGAAGTTATTCTCCATCATGAATGCACATATTTAATTTAATCCCAAAGAAAATCAGAGCACAGTTATTTTACATCATAACGCTACCTAACAAATTAAATGTGTAAATTATAAATGCCAGCATTGCTTTGAAATCTTCAGAAACAGAAAGAGAAACTAGATATGTGGACATAAAAAATAAAGGACAGAAAGGAATTGCACACGAGGTTTGCTGTTGAATAATTTGCCTGCATTGCTGCAGTGAGCAGGTGCATGATCTCCCCTTCGTCTCAGGTATGCACTGAGTATTTTGGGGCCGCCAGGGGAGCCCAGGTGGGGAGTGGGTGGGGCCTCCATCTTCTACCCTCAGCCTAAGCATGATTCCTCCAAGGTTTCTCCATATCTCATTTCAGCCCTCCCTGGCCTTTAGCCCCATCTGAGGTCTCTGGGGTGGGAGCCCAGGATTAGGAGGTCCCTGACTATTTCCACCCTCTCATGGGCTGGGCCCTCCCCTGCCGACCCTCCCCCTTTACTCCCCTCTTTCCTTAGCGTCCTGAGCTCTCCTGGGGGCAGGGCCTGAGCTGAGGTTTGAGCTCAGAGAGGACAGGGTCAGCGGCCTCACCTGAGACCACGAGCTCCAGGGGGTCACTGGGGTGAGACAGCAGGTAGGGGAAGAATCTGCGTGAGCTGTAGCACCTGTAGGTCCCCGCGTGGGCTGAGGTCACAGGACTCATGGGGAATTCAGCCTGGTGCTGCTGAGCTTGGTGCTCTGATCTCAGACGCAGTGGGTGATGGGCTGCCCCCTCCTTGGTCAGAAGGAAAGTGTCCAACTGCTCCCGTGACTGACACAGCAGGGTCACGTTCTCTCCTGAGGCCACCGTGGGGCCCGGCTGCACCGAGAGGGAGGGTCTGCCACGGATCTGTCCTGGAGAGAAGAAGGATGGGTGAGGGGCTGCCCCACCTCGTTCTGAGCTGACACCTCCCCAGGCCTCTCTCTGGGACCCTCAGTCTCTGTCTCTGTTTTCTCTGAGTCTCCCTCTACCCACCCATCCCCTGTCTCTGTCTGTCTCTCCCTCCCTTGGGACCCCCACCCCTCATCCTGGCCATCACCACCTGGGCTCCCCCAGCAGGGCCTGTGCGGAGCGTGGGTCCCTGACTGAACCTGCTGGGCTCCTCACCTGCGATCAGGATGCTCAGGGGGTCACTGGGGGCCGACCACTCGGAGGAGAGGTTGTGTGCACCGTAGCATCTGTACTGGCCCCCGTGGGAGACCCTCACAGGGCCCAGGGTGAAGTTGGCCTGGGAGAGCCCAGCCTGGGGCTGCCGGCCAGAGCCCTGGACGAGGTCATGTCCCCCCTCCTTGTACAGAGTGAATTTGTCATAGCCGACATCAGAGCCACACTGGAGGGTCAGATTCTCCCCAGGGGCCACGACAGGGCCCTGCAGGGTCAGGAGGGAGGGCTTCCTAGACACGCCTGGAGGGAAAGAAGAGTCGGGACTAGGAGGGCTGGTTCCTCCCACACCCCTTCCTTCTCCCCTCCTGGCCCTGCAGGTCTCACTGTCTCTCATACTCAGTGTCTCTGGGCTCAGGAGTCCCAAACTTCCCTTGTTCCACCCTCCTACATGGGGCTCCGTGAGAGTAAGTTCTCAAAAATAAATAGGGCAAGGAGGAAGACATCCATACCTAAGACCAGGATCTCCATGGTATCACTGGGTTCCGACCACACCCAGGGGAAGTTCGTGTAATGCCCATAGCATCTGAACATCCACCGGTGACTGGCAGCCACACGGCCCACAGGGAACAGGGCCAGGGACAAGGGACAGCCCCTTGGAGAGTTCCTGTGAGTCCAGCATCCAGGAGAGCTTGTTTTCTCCTTCCTCAATCAAAATGAACCTGTGAAATCCCACCCTTGAGCTACACTGGATGGTCACGTTCTCTCCTGAGGTCACCACAGGGCTCGGCAGGGCTGAGAGAGTGGGTTTTCTGTGGGCTCCTAGGAGAGAAGGAGACACTGTCTTAAATGGGGCTCACGCGTCCCACATCATCCCCCAGGGCTGAGTTATTAGAACGGAGATGCCCTTGAGAGCCGACCCCCTTCCTGCAGGCAGAGCCTGGGGCTGGGACCCCTGAGTGTCCTCTTACCTGTCACCACCAGCTCCAGGGGCTCGCTGCGCTCTGACCAGCCTGCAGGGCTGAGATAGTGACAGTGGTATCTCCCTGCATGGTGCTCTCTCATGGATGGGATGAAGAAGTTGGTCTTGTTCCTGGGCTCTGGTGGGCTCTGTTGGTACCAGGTCATGGGGTTTCCTTCCTTGGTGAGATAGTAACCCTGGGTATCCAGGGTCCCCTGGCACCAGAGGGTCATGGGGCTCTCCCAGGTAATCACAGAGCCTGGCTCAGCCCAGAGGCTGGGTTTGGGGAGGGTCCCTGGAAGAAACCACAGGCTGGGGTCCACAGACCTCCCCCGCTCCTCATTCCCAGCTCAGGTCACAGACCCTCTTGATTTTCTCACCCTCAGTTCAGAAGCCCCTGAGATGAGAGTCCAGGTGCTGAGTGTGAGGTCAGGCATGGGAGGTTAGCAGAGACTCACCTGCAAGTGCTTGGGCTTTCTGGCCCAGACTCAGCCATGGAGAAGAGTTTCCTGTGGGGGATTTGGAACACAGAGGTGTGGCTGCTTCCCTTCCTGTTGGAGCACCAGTAGCCACTGGAGCCCTGAGGCTCTCTGGTGAACAAGGCTGCTGTGGGACCCTCCCCACCTCAGCCCAGTGCCCCTCCTGTCCCTCGTCTCTCCACCACTGACTGAGGCACAGAAGAACAGTGAGGATGGACACCATGATGCCTGCTCTGCGTGCTCCAGCTGTGGGACAGGTGACCACATGGCCCTCCATGACAGACAGATGCACGGATGTGGTTAAGTCAGAGCCTGCTGCCGCCTGCCTGGGTCCCCACAGCTGTGAACCCACAGGAAGTGGACAGCCCCTTGCTGGGCCTGTCTCTTATTCCCCCCCCAGTGCAGGGGCTCAGGAGGACCCAGGCCCTCTGCACACATCTCAGCCCAGACCTGAGGTGTCCCCTGATTGCCAGGGATCCTTTGTCTGAAAACCTGCCCGTGGAGGGTGGACCCAACATCATATCTATGTCAGCTCCCAACTTAGCTGGGTCTAAACTGAAAACACAGCCCTTATTTTCTCAGAGCCTCCACTCATGACATCGGCTTTCTTTTTCCCCACTGATGCAAAGACAAATATTTCCCAGCAGAAAGTCATCCTGATCTGGAGAGACCCATTTCCTGCGTTCAGTAAATAAAGTCAGTTTCATTAGGGGAGGCTCTGGGAAAATAAGGGGATGCAGACTAGCAGAAGATGAACATTTAGCTACTTGTTTCTCAATTAATTGATTTATTACCAAAGAGAGAGAAGTGGAAACATGAGAATAGGGACCATGACTAGAATGTGGTTGAGGGAATGGTTTCTATCTTATTCCCTGGCAGAGAACTAAGGGATAAGAATGAGAAAGCTGGCTGGGTGCAGTGGCTTACACCTGTAATCCCAGCACTTTGGGAGGCCGAGGCAGGAAGATCACAAGGTCAGGAGTTCAAGACCAGCCTGACCAACATGGTGAAACCCCTGTCTCTACTAAAAATACAAAAACTAGCTGGGTGTGCTGGCATGCGCCTGTAATCCCAGCTACTAGGGAGGCTGAGGTGGGAGAATCGCTTGAACCTGGGAGGTGGAGCTTGCAGTGAGCCGAGATCGCGCCACTGCACTCCAGCCTGGGCAACAAAGCCGGACTGTCTCAAAAAAAAAAAAAAAAAAAAAAAAAAAGAAAGAGAGAAAACCCAGCAGTGAGAGGTAGTTGTGAGAACACACTAAAGAGGAAAGATAATCCAGGGCTGGGAGTGGTGGCTCATGCCTGTAATTCCAGCACTTTGGGAGGCTGAGGCTGGCAGATCACAAGGTCAGGAGTTCGAGACCAGCCTGACCAACATGGTGAAACCCTGTGTCTACTAAAAATGCAAAAATTAGCTGGGTGTGGTGGTGGGTGCCTGTAATCCCAGCTACTCAGGAGGCTGAGGTGGGAGAATCGCTTGAACCCAGGAGACGGAGGTTGCAGTGAGCTGAGATTGCACCACTGCACTCCAGCATAGGCAACAAAGCCAGACTCTGCCAAAAACAAAAACAAAAACAAAAACAAAAACAAAAAACAAGAAAGCTCAGTGAGAGGTGGTTGTGAGAACACACTAAAGAGGAAAGATCATTCAGGGCTGGGAGTGGTGACTCACGCCTGTAATCCCAGCACTTTGGGGGGCCACAGGCGGGTGGATTACCTGAGGGCAGGAGTTCAAGACCAGTCTGGCCAACATGGTGAAACCTCGTCTCTACTAAAAATACAAAAACTAGCTGGGTGTGATGGCGGGTGCCTGTAATCCCAGCTACTCGAGAGGCTGAGTCAGGAGAATCTCTTGAACCCAGGAGGCAGAGGTTGCAGTGAGCTGGGATCGTGCCACTGTACTCTAGCCTGGGTAACAGAGCAAGGCTCTGTCTCAAAAAAATAAAAATTAGAAAGAAAAAAGGAAAAGGAGAAGAGGAAGGAGACAGAAAGGAGAGAAACATCCCTGAGGTGGAACATTACATGCAACATGGAGTAGGCAGGGAATCCGATAGAGCACTGAAACTCTCACTGGGTACGGTGGCTAACATCTGTACTCCCAGCACTTTGGGTGGCCGAGGTGGATGGATCACCTGAGGTCAGGAGTTTAAGACCAGCCTGACCAACATGGTGAAACCCCATCTCTACTAAAAATACAAAAGGCTGGGTGTGGTGGCTCACGCCTGTAATCCCAACACTTTGGCAGTCTGATACAGGCGGATCACATGAGATCAGGAGTTTGAGACCAGCCTGGCCAAGATGGCAAAACCTCATCTCTACTAAAAATACAAACATTACCTGGCTGTGGTGGCAGTCGCCTGTAATCCCAGCTATGCAGGAGGCTGAGGCAGGAGAATCGCTTGAACCTGAGAGGTGGAGGTTGCAGTGAGTCAAGATCGTGCCATTGCACTCCAGCCTGGCCAATAGGAGCAAAACTCCATGTCAAAATAAAATAAAATAAAATAAAATATAATAAAATAAAATAATAAATCAAAACAGGACTGGACATCTCCTGTGGGTTGTCAGTGAATGGAACTAAGCAAGCCACCGCTCTTTCCCTTTTGTCCTGCAAGTGTCTTTCTTGGCCTCCAGGAAGTGAGTTCCATCATGTCAGACCCTATGTTTGTTCCTGCTGGGTTCACTGAGGCTCCTCCCTTTCCACCTGTGGCTCCCCATGGGTTCCCAGTCCCCAGCCAGTGTTGTGAATCGAGCCAGGAAGACCAGCCCTATCACACCCCTCCTGATGGAATTCCCACAGTGTCATCCTGGAGAACAGGGGCTGGGGGCTGGGGTAGGATCAGAGACCTTTTCATGTGGGCCAGGCCCCTCCCTCCACAGGAGCTCTGACACGAAGCTCATCACCATTCATTTCACCCTGACGATATTCTTCCTGCCCAGACACCCCCGTTCTCCCTATGTCATCATGGGCACCTCAGTGAAATCCATGGTTGAGGGTCTCTGTCACTTACTCTGCCCTCTTCTTGGAAAATTTCCTTGGATCCTTCCAGAGCCCTTCCTGAGTGTGCTGCAGGGTCTCTGCCACATGACACACTCTCAGGAACCCTCATCCTCCCCTTAATCTACTGCGCCCACATAGCCAGGTGCAGGCTCCGTTTCTTCATCTTCCCTTCCCCACAGGCCCCGATGGAGAGTGGATTAGACTCGCTCCTGAGTAGGGACTCAGGTCACTCTGACCCCTTCCTCCCCGTGGACGAGGCCTCTGTCCCAGAGCATTGGAGGCTGAAGGGCCTTGTGGATTCCCACACTGGCCACAGTCTCCGATGCAGATGGGGAACTGGGGACCTGGGAGGGGTTGCCTAGCCCAAGGCCACATAGCTGGGCGGTGGCACAGCCTTCACTCACACAGGGACATTCCATCTTCCCAGGGACTTCACACTGGAGGCTAAGAGCCCCACTTTGCACACCACATTCAGGGGTAGATTCTGTGTGTGACTAACAAGTTCTCTTAGGGTTCCGAGGTAACAGGACAGCAAATGGATGAGTGAGAGTTTCCCTCACCCCACTGAAGTAGGACCATTCTCTGTGGAGGGTTGGTCCCCTGACTTCCTCTACTCTGTCATCTCCCTAGTGACTGATAGGGGTCCTGGGGTCTCTTCCCTGGAATCCCATGAGGGACAATTCCTTTCCTGAAGGGAAGGTATAGAGAGGACTAGCAGGTGCCTGGTGATGGAAAGTCCCCATAATCAAGAGACATTGCCTCCCCCCCCCGGCATGATAAATATCTGGGTTTCCAAATGGGAAATCTGTCTGTGATGAGAGCTCAGGAGGGGCTTCTGGAAGATGGAAAAGGGCTAGAGGCTGAGGCCACTGCTTATCTCCCCACACTGTATCTGGCTTCACCTCCTGTGTTTGTCCTGACCTCTTCCTTCACTCACCTGGATAAGTAGGACCCCAAAGTGGGCCTCCAGACAGGAAGCAGTGGAGAGTGTGGAGCTGCCCTGTCTACCACCCTACACCCTGACACCACTGTCATACTCAACCTCTCTTTTCCTCTTTGTGTTTCTCATTGCTTCATTTTGTCTGGAATCCCTAAGATTCCCATGTCTCCAGCAGGCTGTCCCTCAGACGTGGCTATATGATTTAGTGTTTCACAGGGCATGCAGCAGGCATGGGCTACCCCCAGTAACAGTGGTCATCTAGGGCTGATCACTCACAGGCAGAGCCATCGACAGAGAGCTGCAGCATCTAGAGGTCCCATCACCAGCCCCAAGACCCAGAGAGAAGTTGGCCTGAATGCCCCACTCTGTCTCTGCACCCCAGTGAGCCAGTGTCCAGGGGCCTTACCTTCCTCGTTAGAAGGCACAGGTCAAATGAGCTTCCAGAGCTGCAGAGCAAAGTCACATTCTCTCCATCATTACTTACTGCAGGGCACAGTTGAGCTGAGAAGGAAGGTCTCTTGTAGACGCCTGGGGAAAAAAATAGTCCTTGACTGTCGAGCACAAGCCTTACCCAGCCTATCCTCAGGGCATGAAAAAGGCATTCTCTCCACCTGTTCTGGGGAGCACACTCTGTTACCCACTCGTGCCTCTCTCCATCTCAGTTCTAGCTCTACAAGCTGGCTCATCATGTGTGTGTTTTCCTGTCTGTCTTTGCTCAGCTTTTCCTTGAATCTCTTGCTTTTTGCCGGTGCGTGTGTGGCTTTCTGCCCTTAGAACCATATGAGATTTAGGGTTCTCCTGGCACATAGAACTGTTTACTTTGAGGACCCTCAGAAAACATAGCCCTGGGCTAAGGCTCCCTGTCCTGGAACTAGAAGGTTATGGGTGTCACCATTTCCCAACAGCATGTCTGAAAGTGCCAGAATCTTCAAAGAGTCTGCAACATGTTTGTAGGATCTTTATAGGGTCTGATATTGCAGGGACCAACCAAGGTGCCCTCACACCCCAAGACGCTGGAAGTGACCCCTTGCTGAAAGTGGTTGGAAGTTTCACATAGAAGTTTGAGTTAAGCCACATTGCTGAGCAATGCCTCAGCATCCCAGTCTTCATCCAGACCTTCCAGGAGCCTGGCTGGAGGGGGTGTCTCTGGTGTGTCACTGAGCCTTATAGCAGAGGAAGGGGGCTATGGTGGAAACTACCTCCAAGATACCACTCAGTCCTAAGCTGGGGAACAAGCTGAGCTTGGATTCTGGTAGTGAATGAACCGGGGAACATTTATTTGAAGGGTTCTAAGAGTAGCATCGTGTGGGTGCGTTAATTGTATGTGAAGGGGAAGATCCTGAGAAAACAAGAGCTGCTCCACTCTGTGCCTGGGTTTACCAGAGGGACCGATGAGGTCCTCACAAGACCCAGGAATCCCACCGGGGGAAGGAGGCTTAGGGAGATGTGTTTAAGACTGTTAACTGAGTCACAGACAGAAGCAGATCAAGCCATCCCACCACCTAGGTTTGTGGTTTTGTTTCTCCTAAACTTCCTTTCTGTAAGTAGCAGAACCTTCTCATCACCATCCTTCAAAACCTCTGCATTGTTTGAGCTCCTTGTATTTTCTGGAGATTAATCTCTTGCTTGCAAATATTCTTTCCCATTCTGTAGGTGGTCTCTTCACTCTGCTGTTTGTTTCCTTGATTGTGCAGAAGGTTTGCAGTTTGCTATGATCTCATTTGCCTATTTTTGCTTTTGCTGCCTGAGCTTTTGAGGGTTTTTTTTTTTTTTTTTTTTTTTTGAGACGGAGTCTCGCTCTGTCACCCAGGCTGGAGTTCAGTGGCATGATCTCAGCTCATTGCAACCTCCGCCTCCCGGGTTCAAGTGATTCTCCTGCCTCAGCCTCCCTAGTAGCTAGGACTACAGGTGAGTGCCACCACACCCGGCTAATTTTTGTATTTTTAGTAGAGGCAGGGTTTCACCACGTTTGGCCAGGCTGGTCTCAAACTCCTGACTTCAAGTGATCCACCCACTTTGGCCTCCCAAAGTGCTGGGATTACAGGCGTGAGCCACTGCGCCCGGCGTTGTATTGGATTTTTAATTCAGCCCTATTTTCTCCGACATTTGATATTGGCATTTTTGTCTTTTTTGGATATGCTAGGATCATGGTGTCATAATTTAATTTTAATTTTTATTTTTATTTTAAGTTCCGGGGTACATGTGCAGAATGTGTGGGCTTATTGCATAGGTCAATGTGCGCCATGGTGGTTTCCTGCACCTGTCAACCCATCACCTAGGTATTAAGCCCAGCATACATTAGCTATTTTTCCTAATGCTCTCCCTACCCCTACCCCACCCCCCCCCGACAGGCCCCAGTGTGTGTTGTTCCCCTCCCTGTGTTCACGCATTCTCATTGTTCAGCACCCACTTGTAAGTGAGAACATGCAGCGTTTGATTTCCTGTTCCTGTGTTAGTTTCCTGAGGATAATGGTTTCCAGCTCCATCCATGTCCCTGCAAAGGACATGATCTTGTTTCTTTTTATGGCTTCATAGTATTCCGTGGTGTATATGTCTCACATTTTCTTTATCCAGTCTATCATTGATGGGCATTTGGGTTGATTCTATGTCTTTGCTATTGTGAATAGTGCTGCGATGAACACATGTGTGCATGTATCTTTGCAATAGAATGATTTATATTCCTTTGGGTATACGCGCAGTAATGGGACTGCTTTTACCTGTGCCAAAATACTGAAGTAGAAATGATTATTCACTCTAAAATGGAAGGTAATAAGATGTATACGTGAGCTATCAGATGCCTGGTGCTTATGAGTGAAGACAAGTCTGTCCAACGCTTCCCAACCCTGCATTCAGGGATGTCTCGTTGGCATCTTGATTATGGCCATGAAAAAAGAATTTACGTCAAGGAAATTGGTAAATGCCACTAATCATAGCATTTCAAAAAATGTCTTTTTCAGAATTAGCATACCATTGGGTCGTGACTTCAAATGCCAGTGTGTTGATTCCAGGTGGTGATATTTCAGGAGAAACTACACAGATAGCATCTGATAAGGAGGGAAGAGCTCATAGGGTCCACACAGGAGGTGAGGGCATCACGGTGCATTTATCTTTTCCTGGTCGGACTCTGATCTTCTCCCGTTGAATTAGTTCCTAAACCAGGTGCGGAACTCTGAACTGAAGACATGAAGACCCAGTAAAGTACACCAGGAAGTGTGGCAATGAGAAATGAAGAGGACTGTGTGACACGCCATGGACCAGAGCATGCAGGTGTGCAGAGGTGTGGACCCAACGCTGCCATGTGGGATGGAGCCTCATGTCTAAGTGTGGGAAAAGAGGCAGATCCAACCAAGGAAAGTCAACATTAATGGAGAGGAAAGGTATCACATTTTAATGGTTCTCCATGGATCACCCCAGAAAATGTCCCTGCACTCGGACATTGATTCCTTCCTCTGGAAATGACCAGCAGACAGTCCAGATAGCATCGGCCCTAGATTTTCTTCCAGAACCTCCTGGGATCATCAGATCTGTTCCTGAGGCTTCACGACTCTATAAAGTACATTATCCTCTCTGCTGTTCACCTCCCGGCTGCATCTTGGGAAGCTTCTCTGGCTGTGCCAAGCCTCAAATGACAGAATCCCGAGGACCACCAGGATCAAGCCAGCCACGCCCATGTGGATGAGATTCTCCACTGCGTAATCCTGAAGGTGTGAGGCTGGGGATGGTGGACAAAGAGGTCACAGAGGTCAGGGTGGATCAGATTGTCCACCCAGGGCACCCACCTCCCCTTCACAGGACCCAACCCTCAGTGCCAGCCCCATCACTGAGAGTATCTCCTCACATACCAGTCTCAGAGTCAGACTTGTTTTGTGATGGGCTGAGGGTATCAGCTGCTCCAGAGAATCAAAACAGAGAAAAAGAGACCTGAGCCCAGCCTCTCACCTGGGCTCTGCAATTTTTTTTTTATTACTTAATGTCTCATGATGTGACTTTTACAGAATTTCTAAAAAAAAAAAAAAAACCTCTTCCTCCGCTAGCAGGATTCCCTCTAGTCTCCTCATTGAACGATTTCAGTTTTCCTGTGTTCTATGGATTTAAACATTGCTCCTGAGTCATCTGGGAGAGAGTTTTCCTGCATCCTGAGAGCTCAGGATCTGCAAGGAAAGTGGTCCCCAGTACAGAGGTCACTGAGGCCTGTGTGCTCTCTGTGCAGCCTGGGACACAGGAGAACATGAGCCAACTCCCCCGGAGATGAGAGTTTCACGGATCCACCAGCTGAGGACCCAGGCTCCGTGGATGAGGGTTAGTCATCAGGGGAGCCTCAATGTCAGAAGCACAAAGGGGTGAAAGTCTGGGGCTGCCTCCCCTTCATGCCCTCAGCCACTTCACCTGGAGTTTCATCGTCCATTTAATCTCTAGGTAGCTAATTATTCGTATAGGCAGCAACAGGTAGAATGTGATACACACACAGAAAAACACAAACACAAATATATATCTGTTTTATATATATAGTGGGCCTTAAAAACTATCTCTGCCTTCTTGAAGTGTGGGTTCACCTGGAGACAAACAGCAAACATATAGAAACACAGCAGTGGAAATTTACTAGTCGTAGCAATGGTTTTAGATATATTGGTAGAGACCTATATTTATGTGTGAATATATATTATTTGTATAGATATACGGATAACTAGGTTTCAATGTCACGTAAGATGTCGGTGTGACCACACACGCGCACACACACACACACACGTATGTGCAGAGAGTGGAAGAGAGAGAGAAGGAATTCAGCCGCATGGTGTAGGTTGGTTAATTACTTGACATAAATGAGAAGCAGGCAGGACTGGGCTGAGCTGTGTCGTCAGTGAAGGTCACACTTGGAGGTGACATTGAAGCTGATTCCTCAATAGGAAAAAGGGCCAGGAAGGAGGCGTGTGGAGACCCAGACAGGGAGCAACAGAGGCTCCAGAAAGAGCAGGTCCCAGAAAGGTCTCAGCCTGTTCTTCAGAAAGGAATGGCCGCTTGTCTACAGGGTGGAGGAGGAGGCAGAGGAGGAGGGGAGATGAGCTTCGGGGCCTTGGTGGATTGAGAATAGGCCAGGATGAACCAGCCAGGAAAGAGCGGCCCCAATATCTCTCTCTCTGTCTCTCTGTCTCTGTCTCTGCCTCTCTCTCCCTCCCTCTGAGGTCTGGAAAGTGCTGTAGGGTTTCAAGGAGTGGTACCAGTCATTTGACTTTTTCTGAAAAGATAAGCCCTACCCCCTCCATAGCAAATGTCCAGAACGAAGGAAGTCCACATTTCTACCTGAAGTTTACAAAACCTCAGGGAGCACATGAGATCAGGGCTATTACGAAACCGGGTGAGAATAAAAATAGGTGATGCTGCAAATCTACTTTCACCAGCTTGGACAAAAAGGCCAATATGAGATTTTAAAAACCCAAATAAAAAATGTCAACGGCGCAGAAGAGGAGCGGTGCACATTCCCTGAGCTGCTGCGGGAGCACGTGCAAGTCCCTGTGAGGCTCAGGTGTGCGCTGAGTGCTGGGGAGGCTGCAGGGGAAAGCAGGAAGTGGGGCGGGGTGGGGGGGGGTCGGGGGTGGATGCAGGTGGCACCGGCAGCCTGGATGCTTCTCTCTCCAGGAGGGCGTCTGTTGGGGACTGGGACACAGAGGCTCTGATTCTGAGGTGGAGACACCAGGATGGGAGCAGGTGGGGCCTCCGTCTTCCACCCTCAGTCTAATCTCAACTCCTTTGAGGTTCACCCCCCGTCTCCTCCCAGCCCTCCCTGCACTTTACTCTACTGAGACTTCAGGGGTGGGAGCCAGGGGTGGGAGGTCCCTGTCTATTTCCATCTTCCCATGGGCTGGACCCTCCCCTGCGGACCCTCTCCCTTCACTCCCCTCTTTCCTTAGTGTCCAGAGCTCTGCTGGGGGCAGGGCCTGAGCTGAGCCTTTGAGCTCAGAGAGGACAGGGTCAGCGCCCTCACCTGAGACCACGAGCTCCACGGGGCCACTGGGGTGAGACAGCAGGTAGGGGTCGGAGCTGAGTGAGCCGTAGCACCTGTAGGTCCCCGTGTGGGCTGAGGTCACAGGACTCATGGGGAATTC